>NC_000010.11:57415822-57567337 GCF_000001405.40 Homo sapiens | reverse complement strand
TATAGCTAAAGGCAGGTTTTTCTTATATTTTATATTTCCATATGTTTTGAGGTAAATAAACTAATCCCAAGTGGACAAAATTCCGCAAACAAGTAAATTTTCTTGATGCCATGGACATGACAATCAGAATTCATAATTCAGAACTGATTAATCTATTGTTTAAAAATTGGTTATTGTTTTAGTATCTTTTTCAGATGTTAGTTGCATAAATTCCCATGCAGTTTAAGAGAAGAGACTATACAAAACTGTAAGAAATAAGTAGGTAGAAACAATAATTTAAAAAACCTAGAGTTGGGTAATTACCTCTATTTTTGACACAATTTCTTTTAGTTTTAAGATGTCTTTACCCCTTGTTACTATTTCTATTCTGTTAACACTGTGTGTTTGTTTGTCACTTTGAAGAACTAATTTAAAATATAGGTAGGGTTCTATAACCAATAATGATGAGTTTCAATTTCCCTTGTTTTATGTCTATGTTATGGAAACTGAGTATGACTGTTTGAAGAATATGTGGTCTTTAGGGGAATTATTTACATTATAGATATTCAAAAGAGTAGAGACAATTATTTATTTTTAGTGGATGTATAATAATTGTATATATTATGGAATACAGAGTGATATTTTAATACATATATACCATGTTTAATCAATTCAGAGTGATTAGCATATTCATCACCTCAAAAATGTATCTTTTTTGTTTTGGAAGCATTCAAAATCCTCTCATCTAGCTTTCTGACATTCTTCACAGGAAGAGAATAACAATTCTAAAACTAATAGGAAACCACAAAAGACTCTAAAGAGCTAAAGCAATTGTGATAAAAAAGAACAAAGTTGGAGGCATCACACTACCAGAGTTCAAAATATACTACAAAGGTATAATAACCAAGACAGTGTGGTACTGGCTTAAAAGCAGACACATAGGCAAATGAAAGAGAATAGAGAATCCAGAAATAAATCCTTATATTTATAGCCAACATATTTTTGACAAAGGCACCAAGAATATTCACTGGGGAAAGGAGAGCCTGTTCAATAAACAGTGCTGGGAAAACTGAATATCCCTATGCAGAAGAGTGAAACTAGACCAATATCTCTCAACTTATGCAAAAATAAACTCAAAATGGATTGAAGACTTAAATCTAATACCAAAAACTATAAAACTCCTAGAGGAAAACATAGGGGAAATCCTTCAGGACATTCGTTAAAGTAAAGATTTTATGGGTAAGGTTTCAAAAGCACAGGTAACAAAAACCAAAAAATATATAAATAAGACTATATGAAATTAAAAAGTTTCTCCACAGCAAAGGAAACAATCTACAGAGTGAAGAGACTATCTGTAGAATGAGAGAAAATATCTTCAAATATTTTGACAAGAAAAAATATCTAGAATATACAAGGAACTCAACTCAGAAAAAATCCAAATAATCCTATTAAAATTGGCAAAGAATATGAATAGACATTTCCCAAAAGAAGACATAAAAATGGCCAGTAAATATATATTTATATATAATATATTATATATAATTATGTATTGTATATTATATAATATATATTTATTTATATATAAATTTATTTATATATAAATATATATAAATATAATATATTTATATATATATAAATGCTAGCCATCATTAATCATCAAGGAAAAGCCAATAAAAACCATAAGGAGATATGATATCATCCCTGTTAGAATGGCTATTATCAACGGACAAGAAATAATAAATGCTGGTAAGGATGTGGAGAAAAGGAAACTGTTATATGCTGTTGGAAGGTATGTAAAAAAGTACAGCCATTATGGAGAATAGTATGGAGGTTCCTCAAAAAACTAAAAATAGAACTCCCATACAACCCAGCAATTCCATTACTGCATATGTATCCAAATGAAAGAAAATCAGTATATTAAAGAAATATCTCCACCTCCATATTCATTGCTCATAGCTAAAATATAGAATCAGCCTAACTGTCCATCAATAGATGACTGGTCAAAGAAAATATAATACATATACATATGAAATAGTATTCAGCCATAAAAAATGAAATTCTGTCATTTGTGAAACATGGATGAGCCTAGAGAATTAAGCAAATTAAGCCAGGCACAGAAAGATAATTACCCCATGTTCTCATTCATATGTGGAAGCTAAAAAAGTTGATCTCATAGAGGTGAAGAGTAGAATAGTGATTACTAGAGACTGGGAAGGGTAGTCAACCATCTTCTAGGGCAAAGTTTTGAATATAGAATATTGACTTTACATTATTCAGAATAAAAATAGAGGAACATTCCAATAATTCTATACCTTAGCACAACCATTTTTATTGTACAAAGTTCTTTTCAAAATTTTTTCACACAGAGAAGAATATTTGTCAAGTAGACTGGACACACACACACACACACACACACACAATTTTGTATCCTGCTTAATCCTTTGCAATACTGCATCAATAGGATATTTGCATGTCATCACTTATTTTCCATTAAGTATCATTTTAATGATATATAATTGATATTCTCGCTGTATGCAAAGATCTTCCTTCCTAGTATCATGTAGAGGCCAAGTCCTCTATATCTTTCAACGTTCAGCTCACATGTTGATTCCTCAATGGCCTGTGTATTAATCTGTTCACATGTATAAATAAAGGCATACCTGAGACTGGGTTAATTATAAGGAAAAATTTAATTGACTCACAGTTCCACATGACTGGGAAGGCCTCACAATCATGGTGGAAGGTGAATGAGGAGCAATGTCATGTCTTTCACAGTGGCAGGCAAGAGAAGAATCAGTGCCCAGTGAAGGGGGAAGCCCCTTATGAAACCATCAGATCTTGTGAGAACTAATTCATTATCATGAGAACAGGATGGGGGAAACTGCCCCTATGATTCAGTTTTCTCCACCTGGTCCCTTCAACAACACATGAGGATTATGGGAACTACAATTCCAAATGAGATTTAGGTGAGGACACAGTCAAAACATACAAGCCTGCCTTCAACAATCTTTTTGAAACGGAACACTTCTGTTCCATTTTTGGGTCTCTATATCAAACTTTGCTTTACTAGCTATGTGGCACTTACTTTCTGAAATTAATTTATGTGTTTTCTCATTTGTTCTGTTTTTCCACTAGAATGCAAACTCGATTGAGCAGGATTTTTGTTTATATTACTCAAAATGTATCCTCAATGCCTGCAAAGTGTTTGCAACAGATGAACAATTCAATAACTACCTGCTCAATAATAAATTAGTGAGTTGTTCAGGGTAATGATGTCAGATTTTGATTGTTTGATTCTTAGTACAGCGTTATGTCTGATAGACCACCTCAGGATTCTTTAACTTGAGAGACAGGTTTCTTTCTCCTTTTCCAGGGTTCTTCTTGTGTTTTCACCAAGGGTAACAACAGGGCAAGGGGAGGTTGCCCAATAAGCTGCACAATGTGGAAGACTCTGCTTGGCCTATTAGAGGTGGAATAAGATGGTGGAAGGGAAGTCTCCACTGATTGTCCCCTAATTAAATAACTATTTACACAAGAAAGCACCTTCATAAGAGCAAAAAATTTGGTGAACACTCACAGTACCTGGTTTTAACTTTGCATTGCTGAAACATGCACTGAAAAGGTAGGAAAAAACAGTCTTGAATGGCTGATGCCAACCCTTCCCAACCCCTTAGTCGCTATCACTTGGTGCAGAGAGCATTTCTGTGTGCTGTGGGAGGGAGAGCATGTCAATCGTGGTACATTGAACTCAGTGCTGTCCTGTTGGCGCAAAAAAGGAAAACCAGACCAAACTCAGCTAATGGCCACCCATGGAGGGAGCATTTGAAGGAGCCTTATGAGAGGGGAGTTGCCCATCCTAGCAGTCAGAACTTGAGTTCACAGAAACCTCATCACCACCAGCTAAAGTGCTTTGGGGCTCTGAACAAACTTCAATGGCAGGCTAGGCCACAACGACTACAACTTTTAGGCAAGTCCTAGTGCTGGACTGGGTTCAGACCCAGCAGATCAAGGAATAGGTGATGGGACATGACCTACTGGACACCAGCTGGGGCAGGTAAGGGAGTATTGGTATTACACCTCCCCTAACCCGACTGCACACCCGTGGATCCAAAAGAGACCCCTTCCTTCCACTTGAAGAGAGGAGAAGGAAGAGTGGGAAGGACTTTGTCTTGTATCTTGAATACCAACTCAGCCACAGCAGAATAGGGCACTGGTCACACTTATGAAGCCCTCATTCCAGGCCCTAGCTCTTGGATAACATTTCTAGAGCTACCTCGGGTCAGAAGGGAACCTGCTGCTTTAAAGGGAAGGACCCAATTCTAGCAGCATTTATCACCTGCTAACTGAAGAGCCCTTGGGCCCTGATTAACCAGCAGCGATATCCAAGTACTACATTGAGGGCCTTGGTGAGCCTTTGAGACTTGCAGGCTTCAGGTGAGACTCAGCATATTCCCAGGTGTGGTAGCTACAAGGAAAAACTGCTTCTGCTTGAGAAAAGCAGAGGGAAAAGTAAAGGGAACTTTGCCTTTAACCTTGGGTACCAGGTTGGCCACAGAGTGGTAGAGACCAAGCAGGTTCTTGGAATTCCTGATTCTAGGACTTGGGTCTTGGACAGCATTCTGGTCCTGTCCTGGGTCAGAGGGGAGCCCTCTGCCCTGAAGGGTGAGTCCTAAGCCAGGCAGCATTCAGCACGAACTGACTTAAGAGCCCTTGGACCTTAATGGAACATTGGAAGTAGTCTGGCAGTACTCCCCATGGGCCTGTGTGGTTAGACTGTGGGGTGAGACTCCTCTGCCTTTGGAAATGGAAGAGAGGAGTGGGAAGGACTGAATCTTGTGGTTTGAGTGCCAGCTCAGTGGCAGTACAATAGAACACCTTGCAGATTTCTAAGGTTTTTGACTCAACTCTCTAACTCCCAGACAACTCAGGACCCACCTGGGGCCTGTGAGAACTTGCCATCCTGAAGGGAAGGACACAGGACTGACTGGCTTTGCCAGCTTCTGATTGTAGAGGCCCAGTACCTTGAGAAAACATAGACAGTAGCCAGGAAGTGGTTATAGCAGACAGTGGGCAAGCCCCAGTGCTGTGCTGGCTTCAGGTGTGACCCAGTGTAGTCATAGTGGTGGTGGCACAAGGGGTCCTTGTGTCACTCCACCACCAGCTTTAGGTGGCTCAGAACAGAGACAGAGAGAGAGCCTCCATTTGTTTGGAAGAAAGGAAGGGAAGAGAACAAGAATCTCTGCCTGATAATTCAAAGAATTGTCCTAAATCTTGTCATTTAGGACAAAATGTAGGACTTGGCTCTTGGACAGCATTCTGGTCCTGTCCAGAACAATACCTCTACAAGTAAGCAAGAACGACAGCATTACTTGGCTTGAGTGCCTTGTAAAGCAGGTCTAACTTAGATTATAATACTCAACTCCTTTAGAAAATCTGGAAAGCTTTCCCATGAAGAAGGAATACATGCAAACTCAGACAGTTAAGATTATAATAAATAACTAAGTCTTCAATGCCCAAACACAGACAAAGATGTACAAGTATCAAGACTATCCAGGAAACATGACCTCACTAAATGAACTAAATAAGGCAACAGGGGCCAATCCTGAAGAAAAAGAGATATGTGACCTGTCAGACAGAAAATTCAAAAAAGCTATGTTGAGAAAACTCAAATAATTCAATATAACATAGAAAAGGAATTTAGAACTCTATCAGATAAATTTAACAAAGAGATTGAAATAATTAAAAAGAATCAGGCAGATATTCTGGAGCTGAAGTTTGCAATTGGCATACTGAAGAATGCATCAGAGTTATCAAATGGATGTGATAGATATTTACAGAACATTTTGTTCAATGGCTGCAGAATACACATTCCTTTTTTTGGCACATGGATCATTCTTAAGGATAGACCATATGTTACTTCACAAAACAAGTCATAAAACATTCAAAAAATTCAAAATTTTGTCAAGCATCTTCTCTGACCACAATGGAATAAAACTAGAAATAAATCATAAGAGGAGTTTTGGGAACTATGCAAATACATGGGAAGTAAACAATATGCTCCTGAATAACCAGTGGGTCAATAAATACATTAAGAAGGAAATTGAAAAATTTCTTGAAACAAATGATAATGGAAACACAATATACCAAAAACAATGGTATACAGCAAAAACAGTACTAAGATGGAAGTTTATAGCTATAAGCACCTACATCAAAAAAGAGGGAAACTTCAATAAACAATCTAATGATGCAGCTTAAAGAAAAGTAAGAACAAGCCAAACTAAATATTATTAGAAGAAAATGAATAAAGGTTAGAGCAAAATAAATGAAATTGAAATGAAGAAATTAATACAAAGGATCAATGGAACAAAAATCTGTTTTTTTTTTTTGAAAAGTTAAAATTGACAAGCTTTTAGTCAGACTAACTAGGAAAAAAAAGAGTGATCCAAATAAATAAAATCAGAAACGGAAAAGGAGACTTTATAGTTGATACTTCAAAACTTCAAAGAATCATTAGTGGCTACTATAAGCAACTATATGCCAATAAATAGGAAAATCTAAAATAAATGGACAAATCACTAGACATGCACAACTTACCAAAATTAAACCATGAAGAAATGCAAAGCCTAAACAGACCAATAACAAGTAATGAGATCAAAGCCACCATAAAAATTCTCCAGTAAAGACAAACCTGGGACCTAGTGGCTTCAATGCTGGATTTGAATCAACATTTAAAGAAGAACTAGGTCAGGCATGGTGGCTGACACCTGCAATCTTAGCATTTTGGGAGGTCTCAAAACATGTCAAGAAAACTACAGGCCAACATCTCTGATGAATGTTGATGCAAAAATCTTCAAAAAAATACTAGCAAATACAATTAAACAATATATTAAAAAGATCATTCATTATGACCAAGTGGGATTTATCCCTGGGATGCAAGGATTGTTCAACATACACAAATCAATCAATGTGATACATCATATCAACAGAATTAAGGACAAAAACCACATGATCATTTCAATTGATGCTGAAAACACATGTGATAAAATTCAACATCCCCTCATGATAAAAACCCTAAAACATTCGGTATAGAAGGAACATATCTCAACATAATTAAAACCACATATGACAGAACCATAGCTAGTATCATACTGAATGGGGGAAACTGAAACATTTTCCTCTAAGACCTGGAACACGACAAGGATGTCCACTTTCACCACTGTTTTTCAACATAATACTAGAAGTCCTAGCTAGAGCAATCAGAGAAGAGAAAGATAGAAAGGGCATCGAAATTGGAATGAAAAAAGTCAAATTATCATTGTTTGCAGATTATATAATCTTATATTTGGAAAAACCTAAGATTCCACATGAAAATTATTAGAACTGATACATTCAGTAAAGCTTCAAGACCAGTATCTCTCAAATATACAAAAGTCAAATCACATTGGATTAAGGAGTTAAATCTAAGATCTCAAAGTATTAAACTACTACAAGAAACAATTGGAGAAAATCTTCAGGACATTGGTCTGGGCAAAAATTTCTTGACCAATACACCACAAGCACAGGCAACCAAAGCAAATATGGACAAATGAGATCACATCAGTTAAAAAAGCTTCTGTACAGCAAAGGAAACAATCAACAAAGTGAAGAAACAACCCACAGAATGAGAGAAAATATTTGCAAACTACTCATCTGACAAGGGATTAATAACCAGAATATATAAGGAGCTCAAACAACTCTAAAGGGAAAAATCTAATAACCCAATCGAAAAATAGGCAAAAGATTTAGATAGACATTTATCAAAAGAAGACATACAAATGACAAATAGGCTTATGGAAAGATGCTCAACATCATTGATCATCAGAGAAATGCAAATCAAAATTACAATGAGATATCATTTCACCCCAGTTAAAATGGCTTATATTCAAAAGAGAGGCAATAACAAATGTTGGCAAGAATGTAGAGAAAAGGAAACTCTCATACACTGTTGATGGGAATGTAAATTTGTACAACCACTATGGAGAATTGTTTGGAGTTTCCTCAAAAAACTAAAAATGGAGTTATCACATGATTCAGTAGTCCCACTGCTGGGTATATACCACCCGCACAAAGGAAATCAGTATATTCAGGACATATCTCCACTCCCATGTTTGTTGTAGCATTATTCACAATAGCTAAGATTTAGAAGCAACCTTAATGTCCAGCAACAGATAAATAAAGAAAATGTGATATATGTGTGTATATATAAATATATATAGGAGTACTATTCAGCCATAAAAAATGAGATCCTGTCATTTGCAAAAACATGAATGGAACTGGAGATCACCATGTTAAGTGAAATAAGCCAGGCATTGAAAGACAAACATCGTATGTTCTTACTTATTTGTGGAATCTAAAACTCAAAACAGTTGAACTCATAGACATAGGGAGTAGAAGGATGGTTACTAGAGGCTGAGAAGGCAAGTGGGAGGTTAAGTGAAAGGTGGGAATGTTTAATGAGTACAAAAAGATAGAATGAATAAGACCTACATTTGATAGCAGAACAGAGTGACTATAGTGAATCATAACTTAATTTTACAATTTAAATTAAATAAAAAAGCATATTTGAATTTTTTGTAACACAAAGGATAAATGCTTGAGGAGATGGATACCCCATTCTTCATAATGTGATTATTATGCATTGCATGCCTGTATCTAAACATCTCATGTAGCCCGTAAATACATACACCTGATATATACCTACAAAAATTAATTTTTTTAAATGAAGAGTATGGAATATATGTATAAAAACACCATTTAATTTATGTTGGCTTTAAAAGTAACTTCTTAGCACTCTTCTTGAGGCAAAGGGCACTTCCGGAGTTAGTGACAATTCTAGCTTCTATCAACTGACCTGAGGCTACTTGGGTCACAGCAGTCAGTGCACTGAGCTCCTTAATTCTGAATTTTGGGAACATTATTAGGAGAAATAAGAAATGATGACTTTTTAATTTCAAATAACTATTTCTCTTCTGCCCAACTCATGTTCTTGGTCATTACATAATTAAAGATGGTTTTAAAATTTTCAATAGATTTAAATATACTTGTCCATAAAATAAAAACTGATAGAAGCAGATTCATCTCCAAATGCTACAAATTTAGTAAGCTCCTCCATGCAACATAATCATTTCTTTTGTTGCTTTTTTTTAAAAAAAACTCTGTATAAGGAAAAAGTTAGTCCTTCCTTCCTTCCTTCCTTCCTTCTTTCTTTCCTCCTCCTCCTGCTTCTTCTTCCTCCTCCTCCTCTTCCTCTTCTTTTCTCTCTCTCTCTCTCTCCTTCCTTCCTTCTTTCTCTCTCTCGATCTTTCTTTTTCACTTTTTTTGACCCATGGGGAAACGGACATTAACAAAGGTTAATGAAATTACACAGGGTTCTATCACTAGTCATAACATAACCAGGATACTAAGCATCATTGAAATCTAAATGCAGGATGTTTCCCAGATGGCCCTCTCCCTTGTCTAACAAGATAAGTCTTCATATGCATTATCAAATATTATTGTCCTACTCAGTTGCTTATATCTAATCTATTCTATAACAGAGTGAAGAACAGAATTGAACTGATCCTCTTTGCCAAGTATAATGTTAAGAAATACAGCTACAGGAAGGTATATATTTGACCTAATATAAAGATGGAATTTAACATTTAATAAGAGTTTCATATGGGAAGAAGACAACAATTTGGATTTCAATGTTCAGAAGATTAAAAGTCAGGACAATAGCAGTGTCAGAGGGCAAAACTAAGTCAAATACTTTCTTAAGGTAATTTCTTCCCTGGGAATAAAATTTTAGATGAAAAATTTAGATGTGCTAATTTAGAATTAATTATACCTAATTACTCTTTACATTATTGTATATATTTTATATTGATATAATTTATTATCCAAATTGGAACCATTTTAAAAGTAAAATGGCAAAGGTCAAATGTCATATCATATGGGATACTGGGGCTCTTTACTGTGTATTTATTCTGCTGTTTTGATGCTTGTAGGATGTTGAGAAACATTTATTCTGCTGTTTGGATGCTTGTAGCATGTTGAGAAACATTCTGAGTGACATATCTATTTTTCATCCACTTCTAACTCATAGCTTATCTCCTTCTCCTTATTATGTTTCCCCCACTTAAATAGTCACATCATGGCATGATAACAGCCATTCAGAGATAGCAGTAGCCAATACTTTCATCTCTCCCACACCTTTCTGATTAGAAAATAGATGCATTTCCTATCACTAAAGCATTTTACTTTCATTTGTTGGATATAAACACACTGGAAACAGAAAATGACATATAACTTGAACTGATGATCTGTTTTTCTGCTAGTAAGAGCTGAAAATATACCACTTCTAGATATTCATTAGAATATAAAAGCAAATGCTTATATTTTAAAACACCTAACAGTCTATCACTATCCTCCAAGGTAAAAATCTCATGAAAGTTCCATTTTTTTCACAGCCAATAATTGATTTCAGTCTTTATAGAGAAAGAACAAGGGATGACTAATTTACAAATGCACATTGATCACTCATCTAAATATGTGCTGACTGAGAATTGAATTTCTTTTAGTCTAATGAACATATTATTCAGTCAAAAGTGATTTGCTTCTATGTTACTAGTGAATTTCCTCAGTCTATTTGAACAGCTACAGGAAGTAGCTGTACCTGTATCATTCAAATACCAATTTTCTAATAAAAAATCATAAGTAATTTAGTATTTTTGTTCTTAGGCATACTCCCATCTCAATGCAAATTTCAAAGAGGAAATAAATGAGGTTTCATGGACTTTCCCCATGGAGAGAAGAGGAATTTAGGATGCAGCAACTGTAGTCCAGAACTCCCACCATTAATGCTACATGTAGAAGAAAAGACCGCAATAATCTACCCCTTTTCTATGCCCTCTCTCCAATTTGAGCAATAAAGTATTTGAAAAGCTAGAGCCACTAAAATTATATACATGTAATTGAGTCAGGAACAACAACCAGATTATTTTTCTCTGTAAGGGGTAGGCTACATATTTTCCTGTTTAACAAGTGGCCCAGTCTCTGGAAAATAAGTGATGTTCAATAAATATTTTTTAAATAAATTATTGAACCTTAATCCAGAAACCAAGAGACAATATGAGAACTGACTGATGATGGTTGAGCACCTGAAATTGTGAAACAACCCAGAGAATATTCTAAGTCCCCTCTGAATGGGAAGAAGTCATTCGGAGGGGCTGCACGTACCGAAGTGACTTTTCTTCCTAATTAACATATTATGTCTCATAGAATGAATGGAGAGTTGCTACTATTTAATCTTGTCTATTCTATCACTGTATTTGTTGATCCTGGCTGCCATAAAAAATACCATAGTCAGGATAGCTTAAAGATCAGAAATTTATCTCAGTTCTGAAGGCTGAAATCCAAGATTAAGGTGTCAACAAATTTGGTATCTTGTGAGGGCTCTCTTCCTGGATTGCACAGCTGCCTTCCTGATATGTTTTCACATGACCTTTCCTCAGTGCATGCATATAGAGTTGGGTGAGGAGAGATCACTTCCTTTACTAATAAGGCCACCAGTCCTATCAGGTTAGGACACAACGCTTATAACTTCATTTAACCTTAATTACCTCATAAAAGCCCTATCTCAAAATTTAGTTACAATGGGGATTAGGGCTTCAACATATGAATTTTGAGGGGACACAATTCAGTTCATAGCAATCACATGCTCCTAGAGTCACCTAAAAGTCCTGCAGATTCTATTACTAGCCACATTCTTCCTCTACAACCAACTCATCTTCTACAGTGCAACCATTACAAGGGTTTGGAATTCAACAAATATGATTAAATGCAATAGTTCATGATGATAAATAAAATATCTTTGGATAATGTTAGGAGGCAAATTCACTATTTTTAACAACTGGAAAAAGGTTAAAAAGCCAAACATTTATCTTGCTTTTCTTGTATAAACTATATCTTAGTATAAGCCTATAACTGATGAGTGAGGTATCTTCATAAAATATTTTGGGTTATATTTAAAAATAAATAATATAATTGGAATATAACCAATGTCTAGTCCTTGTGACATAGTAGTCTTTCTGGTGACCAGCCTTCATCTGACAGCCCACCAAGAGACCCCTCATTAGAACATAGATGATTTTATCAACCCAGGAAGTCACAAGGGTTTAGGAGCTCTATGCTAGGGACTAATGTTAGAGATCAAAATATCTATTTCTTATTATTTCACAATGTGCATCCTCAGGAAACCATACAGTAACACCTATGATGTATTCCTTTAAAAACTTTATGTTTTTACATCTAAAAACAAATATACAGAACATATAGTAGCAGAAAAATACTACAGTGGTAGATGTACTTAGAAAAATCTAGACTATGGAAAGCTTTATGGGACAAATTACTTGAACCATCAACAAATAAATTGCAAGTAAAAATAAAGGGGTGAGAATGTATATATTATATGTAAGGCAAGAAAAAGCCCAATGAAATGAAATTTATGGACAATATTTGGATCCTGATGCAAACAAACTGAAATAAATTAGGTATTCAGAGAAATTTGAACATGGACTGGTATTGATAAAGTTAAGCAATTATTATAACTTTTATTTTAGGTGTGGTAAAAGCATTGTGTTTATGATTACAAAAGCATCACAGTCTTTAAAGGTACACACTGAAAATATCTATGAATGAAATAAGATTTGTATTTGTTTCAAAATGATCCATGATAAGTGATTTGGTGGCAATATCAATGTTATCCTGTTGTCTGTGAATTGATAATTGTTGGAACTAGATGAAGCAAATATTTACTCATTTTATGAAATTTTCCATAGCAAAAAATTAAGTTTATAATAATATTTTCAAATGTTGGGAGGATGAAATTATGTAACTTATAGAAACATGCATAATATACAAGTATTAAGGGATGCTTTTCTTATTTAAGCACTCCGAAAGACACATATGTGTTTTCGAGATATCTTGAGAAAATAAGCACAAATAGCAGACACTTACATGGCACTAAACTTTGAAAACATTGACTCTGCCAAACTGATTACTTAATACCAAACTTATTGGGCAGAATACTGATGTGGTCTATAAAAGGGAGGTGATCTGTGATTCAAACAGGTAATGTAGTAAAAATTGGGATTTTTTGTGTCCTCCAGACCCAGATCAAGAGAAAACTTTCAAAATAGTATGCAATGAAGGGGAAAATTATAAATATGCACCAAACCTTATTACAATTATATTTGTATGAAAAGGAATAGGGCAGATGCATTTCTTCTTGGAATAGTGAATGAATTTCAGCAGCTGTAGACTATCTTGAAATTTTATTATTTGTATTTTGGGTAACTCTATCTGTAGACTCATCTAAGCCTGATCACAAAATTTACCAAATGGAAATCAGATGATGAATTCCATAGTTCTTTCTCTGGTGTCCTCCAAAACTTCTAATTTAATGCCTTTACAAGACATTTCTCTGTAGCAGATTCCCTTGGTTGGGACATTATGTTCATAATTATACTGAGTTTCATTCAAGCACCTCATGTAGTGCCTGAAATGAAGTGTTTGCTTAGTAATTATTTATTAAATATTTGATGAGCATTTTATTACTCCCTTAGGATTAACTTCTGTATTATGTCTCTTTATGAGAAGTGATTGGTTAAGATACTACTAGATGGTAATTTCAGGTATCAAGCTTTTTTTTTTTTTTTTTTAGTGTAAGCCTTATCTCATGCAAAAAAAAAAAAAAAACTCATATTGGCATTTGGCTAGTTGCAAATTTGAGGACAGACTTTAAGCAATTTTCAGAAGCCCCTTAAGATTATATAGTTGACTGTCCAGATAGTATTTTTAAAGTTAAGATTAGTTCCTGCTAAAGAATGACCACGGTCTCTTGGATTATCTATAAAACAAATAAAGACCCACTCTGTGAAAAGCTAATTCAATTGCATACATGTTAAATTGGACATGTATTATAGCCACAAGTCTTCCCTCTCCACTCCATATCATGCATACACTTAAGAGTAACAAAAGTTATCTAGCTGAGATAATTTTTTTGAATATGTTTTCTTTCAATGGGTTAAATTATTATTTTCTTGACAATAGCATGCACAATATTTATAGAGCAATTGAAGTATACATCACCTGTGTTTTTTATAAAGCATAAAATGAAAAAAAAATAGTTTTTGTTAGTTTCTCCAAAAAAATGCTTCAGAGACCTTAAGAAAAGGCATTACGTTTCTTTGTTTTTATTCCTCTAAGCAATGAGCTTGTAGGCAGCACAAAGTAAGATGAATGGCAAATCTACAGAATATAGCTGAAAATAGAATTACACAATTGCAATTCATAGAGATAAAATTTTTCTAAACTGCTATTACCTCTCCCTATTGATACCCACCATTTCTGACATTTCTACAGTTTTATTCTACCAATGGACTATAATCAAATTCAGAGAAATATCTGGTTGAGAGTTGAAAGATATTTTAAAAATGAATATCTTGCCTGTATTTGCAATTCTACTATGAAAAATCAGTAATACAAAATATTACATCTCCCTGTAGTTTCTACCAACAATAAATAAATAAAGGGAAGTTTCAACGGAATTGTTTTAATTACACAATTTTCTCTCAAGACATGTGACTAATATCAAGGCTTAGAATCATGACACTTGGAATAAGAAGATTTTGGATGTTGCTTATGAAATGCTGAGGATATTGAACTGGTTGCAACTTCCCCAAGCCAGTTTCCTCTTAGAAGGCACATTGGCTACCCTTACCCTCAATAATAGAAATATGTTAACTTACCATATATTATTAAAATATTTTCACTGAAGATTCTGTCCCATTTTAGGCATACATTCTTCAGAAAAAGACAAAAATATTGTACCAAAACACTTGTTTTGTAAATATGCCATAGAACAATTATTTCTCACCTTAATCTGAGATTTTAAAAAATCTTACCTTCTGCTTCCAAGATGGCCGATGCAGAAGATGGATGATTTCTACATTTCCAACTGAGGTACCGGGTTCATCTCACTGGGGCTTGTTGGACAGTGGGTGCAGCCCACGGAGTGTGAGCCGAAGCAGGGTGGGGCATTGCCTCAGCCAGGAAGTGCAAGCGGTCGGGGATTTCCTTTTCCTAGCCAAAGGAAGCCATGACAGATGGTACCTGGAAAATCAGGACACTCCCACCCTAATACTGTGCTTTTCCAACGGTCTTAGGAAACAGCACACCAGGATATTATATCCCGCACCTGGCTTGGAGGGTCCCATGCCCACAAAGCCTCCCTCACTGCTAGCACAGCAGACTGAGATTGAACTCCAAGGCGGCAGTGAGGCTGGGGAAGGGGCGTTCGCTATTGCTGAGGCTTGAGTAGGTAAACAAAGTGGCCAGGAAGCTTAAACTGGGTGGAGCCCACCACAGCCCAAGGAGGCCTGCCTGCCTCTAGACTCCACCTCTGGGGGCAGGTCATAGCTAAACAAAAGGCAGCAAAACTTCTGCAGACTTAAACATCCCTGTCTGACAGCTTTGAAGAGAGTAGCACTTCTCCCAGCATGGAGTTTGAGATTTGAGAATGCACAGACTGCCTCCTCAAGTGGGTCCCTGACCCCCAAGTAGCCTAACTTGGAGACACCTCCCAGTAGGGGTCGAATGACACCTCATACAACTGGGTGCCCCACTGAGACAAAGCTTCCAGAGGAAGGATCAGGCAGCAATATTTGCTGTTCTGCAATATTTGCTGTTCTACAGCCTCCGCTGGTGATACCCAGGCAAACAGGGTCTGGAGTGGACCTCCAATAAACTCCAACAGACCTGCAGCTGAGGGTCCTGACTGTTAGAAGGAAAACTAACAAACAGAAAGGACATCCATACCAAAACTCCATCTGTACGTCACCATCATCAAAGACCAAAGGTAAATAAAACCACAAAGATGGGAAGAAACCAGAGCAGAAAAGCTGAAACTTCTAAAAATCAGAGCGCCTACTCTCCTCCAAAGGAATGCAGCTCCTCACCAGCGATGGGAAAAAGCTGGATGGAGAATGACTTTGACGAGTTGACAGAAGGCTTCAGACGATCGGTAATAACAAACTTCTCCAGGCTAAAGGAGGATGTTTGAATTCATTGCAAAGAAGCTAAAAACCTTGAAAAAAGATAAGACAAATGGCTAACTAGAATAAACAACATAGAGAAGACCTTAAATGACCTATGGAGCTGAAAACCATGGCACAAGAGCTATGTGACACATGAACAAGCTTCAGTAGCCGATTCGATCAAGTGGAGGAAAGGGTGTCAGTGATTGAAGATCAAATGAATGAAAGGAAGCAAGAAGAGAAGTTGAGAGAAAAAAAAGTAAAAAGAAATGAACAAAGCCTCTAAAAAATATGGGACTATGAAAAGACCAAATCTACGTCTGATTGGTGTACCTGAAAGTGACAGGGAGAAGGGAACCAAGTTGGAAAACACTCTGCAGGATATTATCCAGGAGAACTTCCCCAACCTAGCAAGGTAGGCCAACATTCAAATTCAGGAAATACAGAGAACACCACAAAGATACTCCTCGGGAAGAGCAACTCCAAGACACATAATTGTCAGATTCGCCAAAGTTGAAATGAAGGAAAAAATATTAAGGGCAGCCAGAGAGAAAGGTCAGGTTACCCACAAAGGGAAGCCCATCAGACTAACAGTGGATCTCTCGTCAGAAACTCTGCAAGCCAGAAGAGAGTGGGGGCCAATATTCAACATTCTTAAAGAAAAGAATTTTCAACCCAGAATTTCATATCTAGCCAAACTAAGCTTCATAAGTGAAGGAGAAATAAAATCTTTGGCAGACAAGCAAATGCTAAGAGATTTTGTCACCACCAGACCTGCCTTACAAGAGCTCCTGAAGGAAGCACTAGACAAGGAAAGGAACAACCGGTACCAGCCACTGCAAAAACATGCCAAATTGTAAAGACCATCGATGTTAGGAAGAAACTGCATCAACTAACAAGCAAAATAACCAGCTAACATCATAATGACAGGATCAAATTCACATATAACAATATTAACCTCAAAGGTAAATAGGCTAAATTCTCCAATTAAAAGACACAGACTGGCAAATTGGATAAAGAGTCAAGACCCATCAGTGTGCTGTATTCAGGAGGCCCATCTCACATGCAGAGACACACATAGACTCAAAATAAAGGGATGGAGGAAGATCTACCAAGCAAACAGAAAACAAACAAACAAAAAAAGCAGGGGTTGCAATCCTAGTCTCTGATAAAACAGACTTTAAACCAACAAAGATCAAAAGAGACAAGGCCATTACATAATGGTAAAGGGATCAATTCAACAAGAACTAACTTTCCTAAATATATATGCACCCAACACAGGAGCACTCAGATTCATAAAGCAGGTCCTTAGAGACCTACAAGTCTAAGAGACTTAGACTCCCACACAATAATAATGGGTGACTTTAACACCCACTGTCAACATTAGACATATCAACAAGACAGAAAGTTAACAAGGATATCTAGGAACTGAACTCAGCTCTGCACTAAGCGGAACTAATAGACATCTACAGAACTATCCACCCCAAATCAACGGAATATACATTCTTCTCAGCACCACATCTCACTTATTCCAAAATTGACCACATAGTTAGAATTAAAGCACTCCTCAGCAAATGTAAAAGAACAGAAATTATAACAAACTGTCTCTCAGGCCACAGTGCAATAAAACTAGAACTCAGGACTAAGAAACTCACTGAAAACCACTCAACTACATGAAAACTGAACAACCTGCTTCTGAATGACTACTGGGTACATAACAAAATGAGGGCAGAAATAAAGATGTTCTTTGAAATGAATGAGAACAAAGACACAACATTCCAGAATCTCTGGGACCCATTTATAGCAGTGTGTAGAGGGAAATTTATAGCACTAAATGCCCACAGGAGAAAGCAGGAAAGATCTAAAATTGACACACTACCACCACAATGAAAAGAACTAGAGAAGCAGGGTCAAACACATTCAAAAGCTAGCAAAAGGCAAGAAATAACTAAGATCAGAGCAGAACTGAAAGACATAGAGACACAAAAAGCCCTTCAAAAAATCAATGAATCCAGGAGCTGGTTTTTTGAAAAGATCAACAAAATTGATAGACTGCCAGCAAGACTAACAAAGAAGAAAAGAGAGAAGAATCAAATAGATGCAATAAAAAATGATAAAGGGGATATCACCACTGATCCCACAGAAATATAAACTACCATCTGAGAATACTGTAAACACCTCTATGCAAATAAACTAGAAAATCTAGAAGAAATGGATAAATTCCTGGACACATACACCCTCCAAAGACTAAACCAGGAAGAATTTGAATCCCTGAATAGACTAATAACAGGCTCTGAAATTGAGGCAATAATTAAGAGCCTACCAACCAAAAAAAGTCCAGGACCAGATGGATTCACAGCCAAATTCCACCAGAGGTACAAAGAGGAGTTGGTACCATTTCTTCTGAAACTATTCCAATCAATAGAAAAGGAGGGAAGCCTCCCTAACTCATTTTATGAGGCCAGCATCATCCTGATACCAAAGCCTGGCAGAGACACACAACAACAAAAACAGAATTTTAGACCAATATCCCTGATGAACATCTATGCAAAAATCCTCAATAAAATACTGGCAAACCGAATACAGCAGCACATCAAAAAGCTTATCCACCACAATCAAGTTGGCTTCGTCCCTGGGATGCAAGGCTGGTTCAACGTATGCAAATCAATAAGCGTAATCCATCATGTAAACAGAACCAAAAACAAAAACCACATGATTATCTCAATAGATGCAGAAAAGGCCTCGACAAAATTCAACAGCCCTTCATGCTAAAATCTCTCAATAAATCAGGTATTGATGGGACGTATCTCAAAATAATAAGAGCTATCTATGACAGACCCACAGCCAATATCATACTGAATGGGCAAAAACTAGAGGCATTCCCTTTGAAAACTGGCACAAAACAGGGATGCCCTCTCTCACCACTCCTATTCAACATACTGTTGGAAGTTCTGGCCAGGGCAATCAGGCAGGAGAAAGAAATAAAGGGTATTCAATTAGGAAAAAAGGAAGTCAAATTGTCCCTGTTTGCAGATGACATGATTGTATATTTAGAAAACCCCATCATCTCAGCCCAAAATCTCCTTAAGCTGATAAGCAAATTCAGCAGTCTCAGGATACAAAATCAATGTGTAAAAATCACAAGCATTCCTATACCCCAATAACAGACAAACAGAGAGCCAAATCATAAGTGAACTCCCATTCACAATTGTGCTAAAGAGACTAAAATACCTAGGAATCCAACTTACAGGGGATGTGAAGGACCTCTTCAAGGAGAACTAAAAACCACTGCTCAATGAATTAAAAGAGGACACAAATGGGGGAACATTCCATGCTCATGGATAGGAAGAATCAATATCGTGAAAATGGCCATACTGCCCAAGGTAATTTATAGATTCAATGCCATCCCCATCAAGCTACCAATGACTTTCTGCACAGAATTGGAAAAAACTACTTTAAAGTTCATATGGAGCCAAAAAAGAGCCTGCATTGCCAAGTCAATCCTAAGCCAAAATAACAAAGCTGGAGGCATCATGCTACCTGACTTCAAACTGTACTACAAGGCTACAGTAACCAAAACAGCATGGTACTGGTACGAAAACAGAGATATAGACCAATGAAACAGAATAGAGCCCTCAGAAATTACACTACACATCTACAACCATCTGATCTTTGACAAACCTGACAAAAACAAGAAATGGGGAAAGGATTCCCTATTTAATAAATGGTGCTGGGAAAACTGGCTAGCCATATGTGGAAAGCTGAAACTGGATCCCTTCCTTACACCTTATACAGAAATTAATTCAAGATGGACTAAAGACTTAAATGTTAGACCTAAAACCATAAAAACCCTAGAAGAAAACCTAGGCAATAGCATTCAGGACATAGGCATGGGAAAGGACTTCATGTCGAAAACACCAAAAGCAATGGCAACAAAAGCCAAAATTGACAAATGGGATCTAATTAAACTAAAGAGCTTCTGAACAGCCAAAGAAACTACCATCAGAGTGAACAGGCAACCTACAGAATGGGAGAAAATTTTTGCAATCTACTCATCTGACAAAGGGCTAATATCCACAATCTACAAAGAACTTAAACAAATTTACAAGAAAAAAATCAAACAACCCCATCAAAAAGTGGGCAAAGGATATGAACAGACACTTCTCCAAAGAAGACATTTATGCAGCCAACAGACACATGAAAAATTGTTCATCATCACTGGCCATCAGAGAAATGCAAATCAAAACCACAATGAGATATCATCTCACACGGTTAGAATGGCAATCATTTAAAAGTCAGGAAACAACAGGTGCTGGAGAGGATGTGGAGAAATAGGAACACTTTTACACTGTTGCTGGGACTGTAAACTAGTTCAACCATTGTGGAAGACAGTGTGGCGATTCCTCAAGGATCTAGAACTAGAAATACCTTTTAACCCAGCCATCCCATTACTGGGTATATACCCAAAGGATTATAAATCATGCTGCTATAAAGACACATGCACACATATGTTTATTGTGGCACTATTCACAATAGCAAAGACTTGGAACCAACCCAAATGCCCATCAATGATAGATTGGATTAAAAAAATGTGGCACATATACACCATGGAATACTATGCAGCCATAAAAAAGGATGAGTTCATGTCCTTTGTAGGGATATGGATGAAGCTGGAAGCCATCATTCTGAGCAAACTATTGCAAGGACAGAAAACCAAACACCGCATGTTCTCACTCATAGGTGGGAATTGAACAATGAGAACGCTTGGACACAGGGTGGGTAACATCACACACTGGGGTCTGCTGCGGGGTCGGGGGAGTGGGGAGGAATAGCATTAGGAGATATACCTAATGTAAATGACTAGTTAATGGGTGCAGCACACCAACATGGCACACGTATACGTATGTAACAAACCTGCACATTGTGCACATGTACCCCAGAACTTAATTATATAAAAAAAACTCACAAATCCTATGTAGCCACAACATTTAGCCTTTCACTAATTTCTTGAAAATTAAAACAATATTGGTGAACTATACTATTTATGATTATTATGATGAAAGTTATGGAATGGAAAATTACAATTAAACACTTAATAACCTTAATATGCTGTATACCCCTTAAGAATAAATATATTGTTTGGTTTTGTATGGGGGTCAGATGATCCTCTCATCCCCTAAAGTACCCATTCTTATATCTTATTAAAATCAATTACTCAATTTTTTAATAGAAGTAAAAGAAAATTCTTAAT
Source organism: Homo sapiens (assembly GCF_000001405.40). Taxonomy (NCBI): domain Eukaryota; kingdom Metazoa; phylum Chordata; class Mammalia; order Primates; family Hominidae; genus Homo; species Homo sapiens. The sequence goes on along the minus strand of NC_000010.11, from coordinate 57,545,992 downwards.
GTGTGTGTGTGTGTGTGTATGTGTGTACGTATACATATATCACATCTGTAAAAGACAACTAATTCCATTGGAAAAAATTTTGGAAACTGATGCATGGTATTTTTATATATTTGAGAGGTTCAGTGAAGTTTTTACGTAGGATGCAGTAAATACTATGAATTACTTTAAAAACACAACATTGTAATAGCAGTCTTTCCCCTGCACTCTGTTCTAATCTCCTGTTTTCCTGTTTTTTTTCCTCCCTTCATCTCCTCTTTCCTTCTCTACCTTAATGCTTCTCCCTCCTTCCCTCCCTTCTCTCTCTGTCTCTCACCCTTTCTTTTTCTTTCTTTTCCCCGTATTTGCTCCCACCTTTGCTTTCACTTCCTTCCTGGCTCTTCTACCCTCTCTCCTTTGCTTCCTATATCTTTCTGTTTCTCCTCTTTCTTACAGTACTATTTTTTGTTTATTTTTTCACCTTGAAACTCTGATGTTACTGATAGTTTTTTAATAATTAGAAAGATTCAATTGAAATCTTACCTATATTATCCATCTGATTTTCTGATTAAGAATATGTATCTTCAGGTTTCTAATCTCTGTCGTTAGCCAGTGAGATATTTTATTTATTTTCTAATTCTTCAATGGAAAAAAAAAGATTGAAACATCACCATTCGATTGTGTCTATATTTTGTAAAGTTGCACTTAAAACATTGTGTATACTTGTTTTTATTCAAGTATATTGAGGCAAAATTTTTATAAAATAAAATGCAATGATGATAAATATGCAGTTTTATGAATTTTGACAAATATATATGGACATGGAATTACCACCAGATAAAGATATAACATATTTTTATCATCTCAGAATATTCCTTTTTGCCCTTTGCAGTCAATTCCCATAGCCACTGCCCCAGGTAACCACTGATTTGCTTTGCTACAGTTTAGCTCTGCTACTGTAGAATTTTATATTAATGATATCTAATAGTGTGTACTCATTCATGTAGTAATATGCATCAGAATAAATTATTTTTCTTTTATTAATATTATTCCCTTACATGAATATAGTTTGTTGATTCACTTGTAAATGAAAATTTGGGTTTTTTCCAACTTTGGACTATTATGATTAAAGCTGATGTATATATTCTTGTAGAAGTTGTTATATGAGAATATATTTTTATTTCTCATGTAATTGACTAAAAATAGACTGAGTAATTCATACAGCGAGGTGGTGTAACTGCATCAGAAACTGACAAATTATTTTTGAAGTGGTTGCACCATTTTACATTTCCACCAACAGTGCATGAGAGTTCCAGAAGCTTCAAATCAATGAGGCTGGTATTGTCTCTTTCAAATTCCAGAATTCTAATTCTGGTGATTTATAGTGATGTTTCATGGTTTCATGGTTTTTGTTCACATTTCCATGATGATTGATATTGTTAAGCTCATTTTCATGTCCCAATTGTTCATATATTTTTAAAGTTCCAGCTCAAATATTTTGCCCCTTTACATTAGGTTGCCTGTATTCTTATTGCATGGTATCAGTATGCATTGAGGCTTAAAATTTTCTTATATATTCTGGATGCAATTTTCTTCCATTCTGCTGTTTGTTTTATTTATTTCTTAATTGTGTCTTTTGAAAAATAGATAATTTCTATTTTGTTGAATCCTAATTATGATTGTTTTCTTTAATAGTTTGTGCATTTTCTGCCATCTAAGATACATTTTTTCTAGCCATAGAAGATTCTTCCTTATTTAATTCTGGACAATTAATAGTTTTAGCCTTTAAGTTTAGATATATAATCTTTTCACAGTAAATTTTTGTGTGTGGTATGAAACATAGGTTGAGGTTTACTTTTTCTTTTTCTATAAAGTTAGTCAATGATTTCAGCATCATTTGATAGACTATTCCTATTCCTTATTGAATAAACTTTGGCACCTTTGTTGAAATCAATAACCACGTTTAGAACTATTTTGATCCTCTTTATTCTAATCCATTAATCTATATGTTCATCCTTATGTGAATATCAAACTATTTTAATTACTGTTGCAACATAGCAAGCCAGTGGTATAAATCTTTCAATTTTGTTCATTTACAAAATTGTTTTCTCTTCTATGCTATTTGCATTTACATATAAATTTTAGAAATTGTCAATTAAAAAAAGCTTGCTGGATTTTGATTTGTATTGCATTAAAAATATAAACTGGCAGAGAATGAATTGAAATCTCAACTCTGAATGTGCCAACTCTGAATATGACATATTTATTCAAGTATGTCTTTAATTTCTTTCTGCAAATTTCTGTAGTTTTTAGTACACAGGTCCCGCAGGAGTTTGTTAATTTTAATTGTTTCATTTTGCATGTGTGTGTGTGATCCTACAGTAAACTGTATATTTTTGTAATTTACTTTGAAATTATTGATAATCTATAGGCAAAAATGTAACAATTTCTTTGACCTTATATATAGTGGCGTTGTTAAATTCACTTATTAGTTGTAGGGCTTGATTTTATTGATTCTGTGAGATTTTCAGCGTAGATCATATGTTGCTTGCCAATAAAGACAGCATCCTTTCAATCTGCAGGACTTTTACTTCTCTTTCATGCCTTTTCCAGTGGTTAAGACCTTCAGTTCAATATTAAAAATAAGTGGCAAGTGCCTTTTTTCCTGATCTGAGGAGGCAATTCTTGTGATGCTGTTAGTAAGAGTGTTTCCTTTACCTCTATTTCTTACTTTTCTTTTTTTCTTATCCCTCCCTTCCTTTCTTCCTTCCTTCCTTCCTTTCCTTTCCCTTTCTCTCTTTCCTTCTCTTTCTTTTCTTTCTTTCTTTCTCTTTCTTTCTTTCTTTCCTTCCTTCCTTCCTTCCTTCCTTCCTTCTTTCTTTCTTCCTTTTTCTTTCTTTCTTTCCTTCCTTCCTTCCCTTCCTTCCTTCCTTCCTTCTTTCTTTCTTTCTTTCTTTCTTTTTCTTTCTTTCTTTCCTTCTCTTTCTCTTTCTTTCTTTATCATTCTATTTTCTTTCCTCTCTCTCTTTCTTTCTTTTTTCTTTTTCTTTCTTTCCTTTCTTCTTTCCGTTGGTAGATGCCCTTTATTTTCTTGGTCTGCTGAGAGTTTTTCATTTTTTAAAGTCATGAAATGGTTTTGAATATTGCAAGTTTTGGATAACTTATTGTATTTTAACATATACATGTATTCATATTTTCTGTTTCATCTTTTGTCAGTTTTGGTAAGTCGTTTTCTGAAAACTTTGTTAATTTTATATAAATTGTTTAATTTACTGTTACAATTGTGTTCATAATAATCTCTTCTATCCTTCAGTTTTGTTTAGGATTGATATGGTTTGGCTATGTACCCACCCAAATCTCATATTGAATTGTAGCTTCCATATTCCCGTGGGAGGGACCCGGTAGGAGTTAATTGAATCATAGGGGCAGTTTCCCCCATACTGTTCCCGTGGTAGTGAATAAGTCTCATGAGGTCTGATGGTTTTATAAGGGGTTTCCCCTTTCACTTGGCTTTCATTCTCTCTTGCCTGCTGCCATGTCAGACTTGCCTTTCACCATGATTTTGAGTCCTTCCCAGCCACGTGGAACTGTGAGTCCATTAAACCTTTTTTCTTTATAAGTTACCCAGTCTTGGGAATGTCATTATCAGCAGCATGAAAACAGACTAATACAAGGATATATAATGATTTATTTCATTTCTGATATAGTTCATTCATGTTTTTTCTTTTTTATTTTTATGATTATTATGTCCAGGAATATATAAATTTTATTAGTATTTTAGATAGTCAATATTTGTTTATTTAGGTTTTCTTTGTATTTTATTGATTTCTTTTCTTTATTTTTGACTACTACTACTCACCTTGGTTTGATTGTTTCTTTAACTAGACAGATACAAAGAAATCTTATTATTATCTTGTTTTTCTTCTTTAATGTTATAAGATCTTAATAAAAATAAATTCCCCTCTAAGAATTGCATTAGCTATATCCTATACATTTTGATATGTTGTAGTTTAATTATTTTTAATTTTTTCACTTCAAAGTAGTTCCACCTATTTTTCTCTTATTTTTCTTTAACATGTGTGATCTTTGGAAGTTCTGCTCAATGTCAAATATTTGTTTGTTTTGGGTATTTTTTCATTTTGATTTGTAACTTAACTCCAAGTAGTCAGAGGTTGAGACTATATTTTTAAATCCTTTAAAATTTATTGTGATTTCCTCAGACTAGGACTCACTTTGTAAATGGTTCCACTTGAAAACCATTATGTATCCAGCAATTGTTAGCATAGTGTTCCATAAATATCAATGAGAACAAGTCCGTTAATAGTAATATTAAAATATTCTATTTTCTTACTTAATTATGTCTTTTTTCATCAATTCCTAAAAATGAATTATTAAAATTTCCAACCATGTGAATTCGTTCATCTTTTCCTTTCATTGTATTAATTTTCACTATGTCATTAGCTGTGTATACATTAAGGATTGTTAGATCTTATTAATGATCTATTGCTTGATTTTATTTTGAAATGACCTTCTTCATCTCTTGTGACATTCTTTTCTTAATTCTTATTGATAAACCTAGCCAGGCCAGCTTTTTCTCCCATTAGTGTTTGCATGAAATATATTTTCTAAATATTTTACTTTACATTCTTTATAGTATAATAGTCTATTATTTTACCTGTCTTTATATTCAAAGTTTTGTGAGTATTTTTGTAAACAACATACGGACATATTTATTTCTTGGTTTTTTAATCCAGTCTGTCAATACATGTTTTTCTGAGTTTTTAGTCCGTCAATTGTAATGCAATTAATGATACATCTGGTTTAAGTTTACTGTATTGGTATTTGTTTTCTATTAGCCTTATAATTCCATTTAACCTCCTCATGCCATTACTTTTGCTATTGTTTTCATGCATTTTATTTAAACCATATATGTCTGAGAACCCATTATTATAAATATTTTAATTAACTGATTTTCTTTACAGTATCTAAAAAAGAAAGCAAAACAATAAATTATATTTTATCATATATTTAGCATTTTATCATTCCTCCTCTAGATATGAATTTTCATCGGTATTATTTTTCTTTTTCCTACAGATCTTCATTTAATATTACTGGTTTTATGATATAGCTGGAAAAATTTATTTCTCAACTTTAATTTATTTTACTCCAGAGTTTCCAAAATCTCTGTTTAGACCCTTTAGCATTCCTATTTATTTCTGCTGGGCTTAATCACACTCTTGCCTTACTCAGTTAAGAATTTTATCGAAGGATATAAGGGAAATTTCTATGCAGATATTTTGGCTTTCCTACTATGGCTTCTCATTTTCTGAAGGTTCCCATTTATTTTCCAATTGCTCTGGTAGCAGTAAATTCTGACCTCTACCTTTTCAGATGAATAAGAATGCTGTTTTTTGCAGATAAATGTGTATGCTCTCCAATGTAATTCCTTTTTTCAGTGGCAATCTCTTCCAGTGTCTGCCTGTTTTTGCTTTCTATCCAGTGCCTTCAACAGTATATACAGTCTAACCTCACTTTTTGCAGATTCTGTATTTGCAAATTATTCTACACATTAAAATTTGTTTGTAATCCCTAAATTAATACTTGTCAATTTCTAGGTAGTTAGCAGACACGCACAGAACAATGATAAATTTGACTTGCCCAATGTGCATGTTTCTGGCTGAAGTCTAACGAGGGCATGCTTTGCCTTCTGTTTTCAGCTTTCCCAGAAGTTGGAGCTGGTATAGGCTGATGTAGAGTAGTGGAAGAAGCTTTAGTTCTTCCAGCTGAATGGGACTTGAATCCCAATTCTGGCACCTGTTAGTGGCGCTGTCTCAGGCAAGTCACCTTAACATTTCTGAATCTCATTTATTCTTTTGTAAAATAAAGACAATGGAATCTACCAGGATGAGTTGTTTTTTTTTGTTTGTTTGTTTTTAGATTCAATCTATGTGAGATATGCATGTTTATTTGTACCCACATATATATACAGATATAAATTTATCTATTTACATATTACCATAGTAACAATGATTCAGTATCTGTTAATTCTGTATTCACAGCAACTTTATAAACATTAATACTGGGAATATTGAGAACTGACTATATACCTAAAATTCATGCTGGTTATTGACAGCATGTTAATATTATATAAATTATGCTGTCATTAACAAAAGAAGAAACTATTTGCTAGTTTTCCTCTTTTCTTAATGGTACAAAATTGTATTTTCCTATACATTTTTTGTCTGTCATGTAATCCCATCATTACATCTAACTTTAAGTGAGACTTGAAAATACATTATTTTAGCTCTGCTAAAATTAAGCTGTTTGTTTTCATAAGGAAGAAAAGGGGTGGGACAGTAAGAAACAACTCACAGTATGCCATATAAGCAGTGGTAGTAATAACTCAAAATAAGTAAAAGATACAGCACTTATTCTTATCGAAAACAAAGATCAAATTGAGAAACAGACTGTCATTTACAGGTCAGTTAGAACACTTAAGATGTTCTCACTCATAGGTGGGAATTGAACAATGAGAACACTTGGACACAGGAAGGGGAACATCACACACTGGGGCCTCTTGTGGGGTGGGGGGAGGGGGGAGGGATGGCGTTAGGAGATATACCTAATGTAAATGACGAGTTAATGGGTGCAGCACACCAACATGGCACATGTATACATATGTAACAAACCTGCACATTGTGCACATGTACCGTAGAACTTAAAGTATAATAATAATAAAAAAAAGAAAACTAAAAAAAAAAAAAACAGAAAAAGATATTACCTAATGTTATGTGTTTTAAAGTATCAAAAACAAAATGAGAAAAGGGATAGCATGACCATAGCGAAAAAATAGAAACAGGCACGGAATAAATATTTACTGAGTACATGAATTAATATGTAAATAAGCATGTAATTCAAAGGACAATCAAATTATTACTAATAAAAGTAAGTATTTGGCACTCTTTCCTTTTTGCAATTGACACCATAAGATCAACTTAATGCTACCTAAATCTTTGAGAAATCAGGAAAATGTATATCCTGCTACACAGTTTTTACTGAAGGATATCACATGTCCTAAAACTAAGCAAAACCTTAAAAGTTCATTTTATTCTTTTTAGTCTGATAAATAATTATTATTCTCATTTCAGAACCGATACTTAAGTATCTTATCCATGAGAAATATCTTAATAAGTTCATCATTAGGAATCTAGAGACAGGACTGGTTTCTTACAGTGAGTAACTTTTCCATTTCATTGCTTATAAATACATGTTAATACTTTTGCAGTTTTGGATAATACTTTATGTGCAGAAAGCAATTTTTAAAATTCGTGCTCCATCTTTTCTCAAAAGGGATATAAAGGTGAAGCGTTTGAAGTATTTCAGTGGATGGTCAGCCATAAATTAGTAGGAAATGTCCAAGTATAAATATCTTCCTTTCCCCCAAGCAACATTCCTCTTCACAAAGCTTGTAGATACTGCATTTCTGGAAACAAGACTAAACTCTTCCTATGTGGGAAGATAAAATTCTTTTTTTTTCAAACAGAACCCTTTCATCTTTGTGGTATGTCTCTGTAGGTGTTAGCATAAATTGTATTCATTGTATGGACTTCAGGAGAAAAAAGATATTAAAGGCTGAATTAGAACTTGGGCTATTTATTTTTTTTATCTGTCTATTTTTTTAGCAAGGAAAGAAAATAATAGGTCTTCCATTAGATAAAAGACAAGTTGTAGAGGCAGCAAAATGATATATTGTATCCATTGTTTTTATTTTTAAAAAATATTCCCATTTGCTGGGTATATACCCAAAGGACTATAAATCATGCTGCTATAAAGACACATGCACACATATGTTTATTGCAGCACTATTCACAATAGCAAAGACTTGGAACCAACCCAAATGTCCAACAATGATAGACTGGATTAAGAAAATGTGGCACATATACACCATGGAATACTATGCAGTCATAAAAAATGATGAGTTCATGTCCTTTGTAGGGACATGGATGAAATTGGAAATCATCATTCTCAGTAAACTATCGCAAGGACAAAAAACCAAACACCGCATATTCTCACTCATAGGTGGGAATTGAACAATGAGAACACATGGACACAGGAAGGGGAACATCACACTCTGGGGACTGTTGTGGGGTGGGGGGAGGGGGGAGGGATAGCATTAGGAGATATACCTAATGCTAAATGACGAGTTAATGGGTGCAGCACACCAGCATGGCACATGTATACATATGTAACTAACCTGCACATTGTGGACATGTACCCTAAAACTTAAAGTATAATAATAATAAAATAAAAAAAATAAAGTATTTAAAGCAAAAAAAAAAATTCCCATTTCCTTAGGAACTCTCTTGTGTAGTTAGGTCATTTATGGTATTCGTTTGTCCTGATGACATTTTTTAAAGATGACTGATGATTATAGCATTAAAGTACCAAGAATTGGCTTATTTTCTGGGCTTTGAAACAATTTAATGGGAACAGTTTCTTTAAGTACAAAGAACAAAAATGCCTTTGCAAGAAGGTAAAAATTAGAGGTCCTGTTAAATCTGGGATTGCATTGCTAGAGGGAAAACTTTTTAGCTAAAAACTTCATACTGAATGGCCAAGAGTTCTACAGTTGCTCCCATACAGAATCAGAGCATGTTTCTCAATGCATTCTCTAGGAACATTCGGAACTTATAAAGGGAAAGCTCTGTCAGATCAGAAGGCGAAGAATAATAGAATTGTAAATTATTAGGGCCTAAAGTACTTTCTTTTTTTTTTTTTTTTTTTTTTTGAGACGGAGTCTCGCTCTGTCGCCCAGGCTGGAGTGCAGTGGCGGGATCTCGGCTCACTGCAAGCTCCGCCTCCCGGGTTCACGCCATTCTCCTGCCTCAGCCTCCCAAGTAGCTGGGACTACAGGCGCCCGCCACTACGCCCGGCTAATTTTTTGTATTTTTAGTAGAGACGGGGTTTCACTGTTTTAGCCGGGATGGTCTCGATCTCCTGACCTCGTGATCCGCCCGCCTCGGCCTCCCAAAGTGCTGGGATTACAGGCGTGAGCCACCGCGCCCGGCCCTAAAGTACTTTCAAAGGTCACTGAGCTTCTTTCTTTCATCTTACACCTGAAGAAACTTAAGATTGTGGAGGTAAGGAAGGCAAGCAGTTCATCTGAAATCACATGGCCAGATTGAGGTGGATTCAGGACTAGGCACGTGTGTCTTCATCAATCCAGGCCTGAGTGTCTAACAAGGCCTTCCATTTAAAGGATGCCATTACCAAATCAACTCAAATGTAAAAGGCACTGGCAAAATCAAGGGGCTTCATAGAAGCATTGCTTCTTCCATTTCTTAAAAACAAATTTTGATTGGGCCAGAAATAAGGGGTTCTCTTCTTTGTTGTTTGAATTACAAAATACTTTGTCTTTTTTAAATTTTATTTTTGTCTTTAATTTTTCTCAGCTTGCTACTCTCTGTATCAGGTTTCTAATAACTAAAGAACCTACATCTAAGTCAGGCTTAGAGCTAGAATGCAATCATAATTAAAATAATATGAATAATCATGAATAATAAAAATTATGGTACCTATTCAATTTTTTATTTGATTTTGCCACCTAGACTTTCAACTTCTATTTACAAATCATATTTATTGGTCTTTGAAACCCTGTAAATCTGAGTAGCACTTTTCTAATCTATTTTTGTTACTGCTACTCTACACTCTGCACTACACATTGCCACCTGTTCCTAATGTTGTATTCTAATTTATTTTCACTTGATTTGACTATCTGGTTCTCTCTATACAGTATAAATATATATTCATAAAATATATTTCTATACCCATAAATAAATTTTGTTATCTTTTTATTAAAATCTGCCCCAATATTTTGTTGAACAATGCATAAAATATATGTAGACATCAAGAATGTGAATTCCTTATGTGCAAGTTGTTGTTGTTGTTGTTGTTGGTTTAACTGAGACGGGCGGATCACGAGGTCAGGAGATTGAGACCATCTTGGCTAACACGGTGAAACCTTGTCTCTACTAAAAAAATACAAAAAAATTAGCCAGGCGTGGTGGCAGGTGCCTGTAGTCCCAGCTGCTCGGGAGGCTGAGGCAGGAGAATGGTGTGAACCCGGGAGGTGGAGCTTGCAGTGAGCCGAGATCGTGCCACTGCATTCCAGCCTGGGCGACAGAGCGAGACTCCATCTCAAAAAAAAAAAAAAAAAAAAAAAGCTGGTCTTTGTATTCCAGGCATCTAAATTGACTTTGATGAACAGAAAGTGCTGAATAGGTGTCTAGATATATTTTTGTTTTAGTCAGAGTTCTCCAAACAAATAGAAAAAGTGTACATAAATACATACATGTATACACATACATATGTTTACACAAGGTGGGGGAGGGAGAGAGAAAGACAGAGAGAGATTTATTATAAGAAGTTTCCTCACGCAACTGCGAAGGTAGGCAAGTCCCACAATGTGTCTTCTGCAAGGTGGAGACTCAGAATGATGTAATTCAATCTTGAGTCCAAAGGCCCGAGAACCTGGGGAGCTGCTGGTGTAAATTCCAGGCCAGGCTAAGGTCCAGAGAAGATAAGATGAAATGTCCCAGCTCAGTGAGGCTGGAAAGAAGGGGTAAATTCTTCTTTCCTTTGCCCTTTGTTCTATTTAGGGAAAGCAACCTATTTGACTGTGATCATTGATTCAAATGCTAATCTCATCTGGAAACCCTCTCACAGGAACACTCAGAAATAATATTTAATCTGCATACCCCATAGCCAGTCAAGTTTACAGGTAAAATTAACCATCTCAATTTGTATGTGATTTTCATGCTATCTTTATATATATAAGAATCCAAAATATAGAAACATCAAATCCTATATAAACTACATATTTTTAATATGTGATATCAGTTTCAAAAATTGGAAAGCATATAATAACATTAGAAAGCATCAACTAGTTTTCATAAACTTTAATGTATTCATTTTCCCCCAGGGATTAAAATATGTCTTGATTTATTTTGGGATAATTACATTCATTTTGTAAGCCTAAATTGTTTCTCTGTAGAGAGATAATATTAAATACATTATTCACTTAGTTTTCAAATTTGTAATGTAAAACATGCTTTGTTTTTCTTATAATTGCTGATCTAAGGAAGTAAACCACAGATGGACATACACAGATACACACTTCTTTTCTCTTCCACAGAATTATTCTATTTCATTTTTTTGGATAAAACAAAGGGATGAATTAAGTAGAGGAAAGTTAACAAAAATTATGCCTCTAGTGTTAATACAAAGGGTTAGATATTTGATTTTAGTGTCTTTCCATGATTCATCTTTCTGGACAAGACAATAAGACAAAATCATTCTATTTCTTTATCACAGAAAACAAATCTATTCTTCTGAATATAGGCCAAAATGGCAATATAATAGCTGTAGAATAATAAAAAATTAAATAACCAATTACAAAACAAATTCAAAAGAATGTGACCTCTAGGATCCTGATTACATAGTGGTAGGTAATACACAAATCAATAAAGTATGAACTATAATAATCATTATTACATATCATTATACCACTATAATTCTATAGCAGAGATTATAACATGCAAGTGGAATCAATAATTTTATATTATTCATATACATATGAATTGTACATATTGTATTTGTTCTTGCTACTTGGATGTCTCGTGTCCACATTACTTATAACAATTATCATGGGGTTCCTTATAATAAGAATAGCACAATGAGAAATAAACCTGAACTGTTTTTGTTCTCATATAATGGATACATTGGTAACAATGGCATTTAGCATAAAGTACCTAGTATGTCAAGTACATTGTTTATCAGTTTACAGTCAACACTTCACGTGATCCTATTCTGTGAAATAGATGGAATTATCACCGTTTACAGAGAATAAAGCAAAGCTTAGATAACTTAAATAACTACCCAAATCTCACTGCTAGAAGGAATAGGGCTTATCAACAACTCCACATATAGCTGTGCAGTTATTTGACCAGTGCAAAAGGCAGGCAAAAATTTGTGTAATTATATAGGTTCTCGACTTGGGTAATGGAGAGTATAAAGAAATATATTTCACTAGGTGATAAGATTTTTGTTTTCCTGGTGAAACAAAGTCTTTGAGTCAAATATTTAAAGCTTGGAATTTTAGCTTACCTGAAAGTAGCAGGAGTACGAAAGGCAAATCTGACAGAAAGATTGGGAGAAAAAAATCCAAACTCCTTAGGTAGCAAGACTTTGGGTCTCAATTTAGAAGTTATGTCCTTCCTTAATCCACACTTTCTGAGTGAGTACCCAGTACTGCCTTCATCAGAGGCAGTATTTCGCTAACAAAGGTTACATCACCCTACATGAAATTGCCTGCACATGTTTATCACTTCCAATTGACTATAGGTTCTATGAAGACAATGATCCATTCAGACTTCAGACTTTATGCTCAGAGCCTAGAGAAGTTTCTGAAACATCAACAATAATGAAATATCAAAGACTATAGATAAATATTTCCAGAGCTTAATTGAGTTGTAATGACATTGAACAACTAGAAAGAAAAATTACCTCACACAGTAATAAAATGAAATTCATATTTTAGCACATTCCCTTTTCTTTTTTAGTCTCCTTTGGTATAAAGCATTTTAAACTGGATTTAATTAATTTTGAGGGGTGAAGTGACTATTTTTTATTTTACACTTTTTTAAAAAATTATACTTTAAGTTCTGGGATACATGTGCAGAACGTGCAGGTTTGTTACATAGGTATACACATGCCATGGTGGTTTGATGCACCTATCAAACATCATCTACATTAGGAATTTCTTCTAATGCTGTCCCTCCCCTAGCCTCCCACCTCCCAACTGGCCCCAGTGCATGATGTTCCCCTCCCTGTGTCCATGTCTTCTCATTGTTCACCTTCCACTTATGAGTGAGAACATGTGGTGTTTGATTTTCTATTCCTGTGCTAGTTTGCTGAGAATGATGGTTTCCAGCTTCATCCATGTCCCTGCAAAGGACATGAACTCATCCTTTCTTACAGCTGCATAGTATTCCATGGTGTATATGTGCCACATTTTCTTTATCCAGTATATCATTGATGGGCATTTGGGTTAGTTCCAAGTCTTTGCTATTGCAAACAGTGCTGCAGTAAACATATGTTTTCATGTGTCTTTATAGAATGATTTATAATCCTTTGGGTATATACCCGGTAATGGGATTGCTGGGTCAAATGGTGTTTCTGGTTTCAGATCCTTGAGGAATCTCCACACTGTCTTTCACAATGGTTGAACTAATTTACACTCCCACCAACAGTGTAAAGTGTTTTCATTTCTCCACATCCTCTCCAGCATCTGTTGTTTCCTGACTTGTTAATGATTGTCATTCTAACTGGCACGAGATGGTATCTCATTGTGGTTTTGATTTGCATTTCTCTAATGACCAGTGATGATGAGTTTTTTTTTTCATGTTTGTTGACTGCATAAATGTCTTCTTTTGAGAAGTGTCTGTTCATATCCTTTGCCCACTTTTTGATGGGGTTGTTTGTTTTTTTCTTGCAAATTTGTTTAAGTTCCTTGTAGATTCTAGCTATTAGCCCTTTGTCAGATGGATAGATTGCAAAAATTTTCTCTCATTCTGTAGGTTGCCTATTCACTCTGATGATAATTTGTTTTGCTGTGCAGAAGCTCTTTAGTTTAATTAGATCCCATTTTTCAATTTTGGCTTTTTTTTTTTTTTTTGCCATTGCTTTTGGTGTTTTAGTCATGAAGTCTTTGCCCATGCCTATGTCCTGAATGGTATTGCCTAGGTTTTCTTCTAGAGATTTTATGGTTTTAGGTTTTACGTTTAAGTCTATAATCCATCTTAATTTTTGTATAAGGTGTAAGGAAGGGGTCCAGTTTCAGTTTTCTGCATATGACTAGCCGGTTTTCCCAACACCATTTATTAAATAGGAAATCCTTTCCCCATTGCTTGTTTTTGTCAGGTTTGTCAAAGATCAGATGTTTGTAGATGTGTGGCATTATTTCTGAGGCCTCTGTTCTGTTCCATTGGTCTATATCTCTGTTTTGGTACCAGTACCATGCTGTTTTGGGAAGTAACTATTTTTAATGTAAGACACCAGCAGTCTTTTGGGACACATCACTGAATGTACCTCTATGTTTATAATATAAATCATTCTGTTTCCTAAATGTCTTCCAAGTTTAGTGAAAGCAACTAAAATATTAAAACATATTGGTGTGGCTGCATGGGGGAGAACTTCTGGTTGAAAGAAGTGCATTAGCTGTGCGCAGTAGCTCACGCCTGTAATCCCAGTACTTTGGAAGGCCAAAGCGGGTGTATCACCTGAGGTCAGGAGTTCAAGAATAGCCTGGCCAACATGGTGAAACCCTGATTCTACTAAAATAATATAAAAATTAGCCAGGTATGGTGGTGCGTGTCTGTAATCCTAGCTACTTGGGAGGTTGAGGCAGGAGAGAAGAATCACTTGAACCTGAGAGGCGGAGGTTGCAATTAGCCGAGATTGCGCCATTTCACTCCAGCCTGGGCAGGGTGACAAGAGTGAAATTCTGTCTCAAAATAAATAAATAATAAAAAATAAAAAGAAAGTGCATTAATATCTACATTTTGCAAAATGCTAAAAAAAAGAAAGTGCATTAATATCTACATTCTGCAAAATGCTAAAATATAATTAAAGCTATAAAAATGTTTAAGATCACAATAAAATAGACAACAGAAGGGAGACAACAGTAGAGAATAGAGCAATTGCTGGCAACTCAAAGATAGAAAACAAATAGTTCTGTAGTACCAGGCATATCAGAATAGAGAAAACCAAAACCTAAAGGCCTACACAGGGGCCAAAGAAGAAAAGCTAGCTAATTTGTGAGAAAGATAAATAGAGACTAAAGAGTTGGAAGCACTGGGTAAATTAGAATGGCATTAGATCTCTAGTCTCAAGAAATCCACAGCCTCTGTAGCCATGTGGTTTTCTCTGGAGTGCTTACTTTCAGGAGGTATTCTGTGCTCAGTAACATCAATAACTGCTGAAGTTCTGGTTGAGGAACCAAAACACCAACAAGAGAATTATGTTGAGATCAAAATACTGAAAAAAATAGAAACTCCAAAGTTCTTTCTTTTGTTCTAAAATTTTGGAAGCCAGATTTATGCTTTCCATTCAGATTAGATCTTTTTTTTTCTGAGAAACTAACTAGCTTAGAGATTTACTAATATTGATATTGGGGGTCTCAGATAAAATGGCCATGCGTTTTTCTGAACACCTTCCAAATGAGGTTTACTAGGTAACAATGCCCCAAGTCTGGACTAAGATAATACAATTAATTTTAAAGGTTTTATTATTTAAATATGAATGGTAATGCAATAATCACTATTTGAGAGCATCATCTGTCCCTGTTCCTGCGAATTAACCATCAAAAAGTTATTCATCAACCCCATAGGAAAGGGTGAGATGGCTTTTTGTTTAGGCCATGAGACCAGACATGTATTCTGGATATATCATATATCTATACTCATAGATATATGACAAGAAGTTTCAAAGTGAACTTTCTGGGGAATTTTTTTTAGCAGATAAACTCAGCTAATGATACCTTTAGCCCTTTAACCCAACCCCATTTATTCTTTTTCTTGGCTGAAATATAGACATAATGCCTGGATGTATGAGAGCCATCATGATACCTCAATAAAGAAAGTCACACACTAAGGCTGTGAAGCAAAATAATAATAATAATAATAATAATGACACCATCTTTGAGCAGCAGCACTAGCCTGGGATTGTTTGTTATATTAGTTTCTGCCACAATTAGTAAAGTATTATTGTTACTGTAGCTTACTGCTGAAGCTGAATGCAATCCAAAACAATGCAGGCTCAGAGAAAACCCAGACAATTCTGGGAGAAGAAAACCTTACAAATGTGAATTAAAATTCTCAAAAAGATAAGCAGAGATACTGTCATAGAGTAACAAGAGGCTGCTGTAAATTAGAATATGAAAAAACAGGGAAGTATTATTAAAAATTAAAATTTAATGGCAGAAATTTTAATGGAAAGACTGAAAAATACAGATAAAAAAGTGTCTTCCTATGAGAAAGAGAGGAAATCAAGAAAAAAAGTAAATAGAATACCTCAAAAATATAGAATTACTCAAATCGTACTGTATTATTTACTCAAAAGGCTAGGCTAGTGAAATAAAGGGGCCTTATAAAAACCAGAGAGAAATTTGTTTTCATGTATCAAGAAATAATCCTAGATAAGCATATTAGGTTGGCAGGAGATTACGTTCTATTATTATTTCAGAGACTCAAAGAGTATTGTCTTCACTATCTCCAGGAAATATTTCTAACTTAGAATTCTACACATTACCAAGGTATTTTAAATTATGGATGTAGAATAAAAGCATGAAATTTCTCAGGGTTGTCGAGACCTAATATACTTTATTGAAGCAGCGTTTTAAGAATATGTTACACTAAATAAGGAATTAACCAAGAGAGAAAGACGTGAATACAGAAACCAAAGAACCAATATAGGAGAGACAAAAATGCAATTCTCAAGATGACAGTAAATACAGCCCAAGATGACAGGTTTTTATAGGCCCTAGAAAGGAAATAGTGCAGACTGGTAAAAGGATATTCTGGGAGAGATTCTTTAATTATAAAATGGGAAACTAAAAGGTACCTGATGTGTTTGTATATATTGAGATAAGTTTTATGGCTTTGTCATGGAGTGCAGTATTAATAGTTGAATTCGAAATGTGTACCTAGTACAATATAGGAAAAATATAGGAATGATTTAACTTCAGCAAATATAAAATGTTGTATAAAAATGATGAAGTAAAAATAATGCCCTGTGTTTGTTGATGTTTCTAAGGAGACCCAATAAATACTTTTACTATTTCTCATCTTAGTTTATAACCAAATAAGTGAAATATCAAAGAATTCCACAGACAGGATTCAGTTTATCAGCAGATATTGAAATATGTAATTTCATACTTAAAGATGTTTCTTGATAGTGAATTCAAGAATCACACACCCCAGGGTACCCGATCCCAAGCAACCCTGAATGGAGTATAACTCTGACATCTTATCATATTAAACATAAATTTACCTATAACCCAGAAATTCCATTTCTAGAAATCTACCCCCCAAATTAAAATATATAGTTACAAAAGAAATATATAAGAATGGTCAGAGCAGTAGTATTCATAATGGCTATATACTGAAAACAATCCAAATGTTTACAAATAGTGAATGTATAAGCAAAGTGTGGTATATCCATCATGCAATGGAATGCTATTCAGTAATAAAATAAACTGAGACCGTATGCTAAACAATCCTTAACATTTTGCTAAGTGAAAGAAACCTGTTGGTGGACAATTTTTCAAGGATCTTTCACCTGTGTTCTTATTTTTTGAGTTAGCATCTGGATACTCTTTGTTTCAGGCTATATTTTCAAGGATATCTACACAGTGAACAGCTTGGAATGCAGATATGGTATCTCCCTCCTGAGCATAGGCCAGGCATGCTAACTCCCTATTATAAAATTGCTAAAGCTCGGTGTCCCTGTCTGGTTACTACAACCCAATGTATGTACAGGTCTCACCTGGCCCTTTTCATGTCAATCTGTGAGAATTGGGGTATGGGGAACTGACACAGAAATCTGCTCATACTCTGCATAATGCTGTTGTCATGAGTGATATACTATCCTTCCTCTCTGCCAGCATCAGTAAAAATGTGACACAATCACTTGTTATCTTGAAAATGGGGTAAAAATCACAGACCCTTTACCGTAGTTTAGAGAACCAAAATGAACAAAAAATACATGTAATTACTTTTATATGAAATGACTAAAAAGGGTTATAGAGACAGAAAGCTGATCAATAGTTTCCCAGGACAGAGACAGAAGCAGAACAACTGCAGAAAGTTATGAGGGAAAATTTTGTGATGATGGAAATATTCCAGACTTGGGTGTGTGGTGATGGTTGCACAACTCCATAGACTTTCAAAGAATATTGAGTTGTACATTTAAAATGGTTGAGTTTTATGTCATATTGTGATACCTCAAAGAAACTGTTTAAATAATAAGAAAAATCAGCAATACAGTGACACACAATTTTCTCCCACAAATACTGAAAGGTCGTTGGTAAAATTTAAAATATCTTATCAATAAAAATAATGTAACTACAATAAAAATATAACACATCTCTTAAATAAGGGATAAAATATGTAATGAATATGCAAAAAGTCCATAAAATATAATAAAAATTCTACTTACCATAACTGAAAACATATAATACATAGAAATAACAAAAACAAAATAAATATAGAATTTCCAAAATGAAAACTATAAAATTTTGCCAAATTTTAAATGAAACTCACCATGTGCCTTGGAGAGAGAGATTAAAAATTGTTAAAAGATAGGATGACAGATCTTTTATGCACCAATTTATTTCTTTAATGCAGATTAAATCAAAACCTATTTAGAATTTTGACGATCCCACATATTTTTCTAACACTAATTTGCAGAGAAATTATTATAGCCAAATATAGAGTCTCATAAAATAGGGGGACTATCTCCTACTGAACATTAAAATACATTACAAAATACTAAAATTAAAACAACATGGTAGTAAAAGAACAAAAAATAGATAGATAAATGGTTACTTGTGTTTGGTGGTATTCTTTGGTGTTATTTATATTAGAAAAAAAACTTTTTTTTAAAGAAATCAATCAGAAAATACCTAGACATCTAATATTGGAAGTTACACTAAACTTAGCACATATATATGAAATAATGGTTTTCATTCTTTAAAAATTTTGGTTTTGGAAAATACATCATGAGTTGGAAAATACACGTGGAATAATTTAATGTGGGAAATAGCCATAAAAGTGAACATATAAATTTTTAACTTTTAAATATAAAACACATATTTTTCAATTTTTAAATATAAATGCACACAATTTTACAAAATTGCATCTTTTGCAATGAATGGGAATATCGTTATTTCTCTGGTATGTCAAAGACTGAAAATCTACACAATTTGAAAACCAGTTTCTTACTTTTGCTTTGATGGCATTTCACAACAAATATTTTATATGCATCTATGTCTGTGCTGATTCCTTTATATCTATTCATTTCTGTCGGTCTTGTTCACATACAGATGTAGTCCATATAACTATAAGATACGTTATGTGAGATTATGTATCATGTTTATTTGCATCTTTATATACTAATACATTTTCTAAATGTTGTATAATAAATGTGGCTAACTTTGATCACAAAATAATAGCAAAAAAATTTAAAAGAATGAGGCAAAATGTGTGGATGGGAAATTAGCAAACTCTATGAGGCATTTATGACCTCGTTACATTTTCACATGTTTTGAACCTCCTAGATTTATTACTGTACAATTTTTGTTCAGAGTATTGATTGGGATCTAACAATAAATCCTCATAAATTTATGCAAAATGTATAATCAAATTAAATACCTCACTTGGAAGATCAAATTTTAACTCTTTAATGGAGCAGTTTTTGGACAACATTCAAACTAGCCTTACTATTGTGTTTATTTTTAACATGTTGTACCATAAAGTTTGTTTTGGAAGTGAAATAAAATGGGAGTAATTTAGACCATTGGTTCTGAAAGAATGATCTCCAGATTAACATCAACGGCATCATGTGAGAATGTGTTAAAAATAATTTTTTTAGCCCCACCCAAACCTACTGAATCAGAAACTCTGAGGGTAAATACCAGTGACTTGGGTTTTATTACACCTTACATGTGATTCTAAGGTTATGTAAAGTTTGAAAATCATTAATTCAGAGCACACCGTGACCAGTTTAGCTCAAAATTTGAAAACAAACAACTCAAAATATCTTGCACAGTAGAAGAGGAGAATGTTGTTACATTTGTTTTAAAAGCTGATATATTTGTAATCAATGAATGGAGAAATGGACCTTCTCTATTTGAAAAATGTTTGTATGTTTATTATTCTTCTGTGGTAAATATAAAAAGATTCCTGACAGTTATAGTCAATGTCAGTTATAATAGGGCTCTGTTTTATATAAAGGCACATGAGAAAACTTTTGAGGGTAATGAATATGTTCATTATTTTGATGGTGGTGATTGTTTCAAGGCTGTCTCTACATCTCACAAAACTTACCAAAATGCACACTTTAAACAATGAGATATTTTTTGTATGTCAGTTATACCTCAATAAAGCAGTTTTGTAAATTTGGGGCAGGGGAAGAAATAATGAACCACACAGCAGCACAGATGACTCTAAAATTTATTCTTTATATATTTTAAAAATCATGTTTCAGTTATTATGATTGATCACCCAATTTCAGCACCCATGTGTACATTTGTGTTTTTGATAGTATTGTTCCAAGAGAAGGGGAAGGGATATTATTGTATAATGTTTTTAGTAGTTTAAGTAGTGAAAAATTATGGAAGGATATGGACATCCCCAGGCAAATGGAAACCTACACTGTAGCTTTGGTTCCACATTCACCATGCAAGTATGCTTGACTTGGCTTTCTTCCCCTGTCCCTATCAACTTCAACAGTTTATTGGCTATAAAGATACCAATGAAATAGTCACGGAAGACCATTTTGACCTCGATCCCAATAATAATTGGATCACGTATCAGTTGAAGACAGAATTCAATAATGATACAATAGGGAATAAATCTTCAAGCAAACAAAAAAATTTACATGTTTATTAAGTGAAACACTGTTAAAATTTATATTGAAGATGGCTCTAGCAAGGTTTTCATTAAGTATGATGTCTTCTTCTAGGCATTAAGAAAATCTTTAGATAATTGAATGTAATTTTGCCTAACATTCTTATGGCCATAAACTTCCTTATATTAGTATTATTCAAGAAAACTTATAGAATAAAATTGACTGTAAAACTATCCTGAGGCTACGTGTTTCCATTGTGACACACAAGAGCAGTGATTTTGACAATGAGCATTATCTGTCGCATTAAATTAAATTAATGTCCTTAAGGTGGATTTTGTGGTTGGAAGCTAATTTGTAAGTGAACTTTGGTTTTATATATGAAAGAGCACTAAGCTTACAGAAATTTTACTTATATACAAAAATTAAATCCAAGGAAAGATGCCCAGCCACATAATAGCCTATGGTATTAATAATCTAATGACAGTACCAAAACCTGGAGAAGATTTTAACCAGAAGTAAATTTTAAATTTGTTTGATTTTAAATTTTAGTTCAGGTAGTAACTTCTTTTACATCCCAAGGCAGAGATGAATCAGATATCTAAAAGTATTTAAGTAGCAATATTATACAAACAAAAATATCAGCATCCTAGTAGTTTTAGATATCAGATTAATAGGAATCTAGTATACAAAAAACAGTTTTTTCAAGAAATATAACTTTTCTCAATATTATTATTTTGTATAGTTAACATGTGTATTTTAAGAAGTTTTATGATATAAAAGTTTTTACATCATAAAAGCTTTAATATCACAAAAGTTTTATGTTATAAAAGAAGTTTTATCATATAATTTACATGCAACAAAATGTATTCATTTTTAATGTACAGCTCAATGAGTTTTGACAAATATATGCACTCTGATAACCAGCAACAAACAAAAATATAAAAATTTTCCATCACTTCAAGATTTTCCTTTTTACCTCTTCCTGGTCAGTTCCACGCTCTAGTTACCATAGAGATTCCTCCTAATGCATACAATATCTTGACTTGACTATTCCAGCAAAGCACAGCATTAGCCAACATTAAATTAAAGATGTCTCTTAGCATCATCATTTGCATGAGAGCAGTAAGAGTTTTTGAGCTAAATGTTAAGTCTCTGGAATGTTATTTCTTTTTAATCGCTGTTTTAATAAAACTCCCACATTTATTAATAGGAATTTGCCTTTATTATTTTGAGTGGCATTTAAAAATGAAGGTAAATTACAAAAGGTAAAGACACTAAATTATATTATGTGCATATGCATTATAATGAAATTATAATTAACTTTAAACAAATCTCCAGAGACTCATGTTTCTAGAAATATGAGCAATCTGTGTAATATGTTTCTGAGTCTATTTTGGGCCCTTGCATGATAGACTAAGTGAAGATTTCAGCAACTTTTCAAATTATAGTTATATTTAACTATAAAAACTCTAAGTTAGGGACTAAAGGAAGGGATAATTTAAACCTACTCAAAGGTGTTTTCTAATCCCAGAGTAAAATAAAATTTCTGAATCTTTGCATTTGATATTCTATATTATATATATTCTAAATCGGAAATTATACTTTTTCTCAATTAATTCATAAGAATGGTAGCACACATAATGACTAGGCCTAATTATTACTCCTTCATCTTTTTCTCATCTCTGCCTTCAGTGGTATGCACATTACTGACAATATATGGTTAAGGTAAATATTAGGAAATCAGAGCATGTTGGAGATAGGCAGAGTAGGTAACCATTACAATAAGGTGGTTTGAAGGTTATCTGCAGTCCAGGTTTACCAGGATACTTTCTCTCAGAAATGTTATAGTCTGAATTTGTCAATATATTAATTTAATATTTCAAAGGGTCATAAATGTAAGCTAAATATCTTATTAGGAAAATGCACTATTAATATATTTGGGTATAGAAAAAAAATCAAAAGAATTTCAAATCCATTTACCAAACCTTCACTGAGACTCAAGTACAGTAATTTGGTGGTGACAATGAGGTAACAGAGAATTTCACAAAGACAGAATTTGGTTGCTGAAAACCTCTCAGGTCTAACTCTCTACTTACCAAGTGTTAATACGTGTTACTTAGTCCTTGGGTGCCTCAGATTTCTCCCATATACGTGAAAGATAATAAAAACTACCTTGCAGAACTGCTGAGGCAATAAAACATCAGGGTAAGTGTAAAACACCTATCTAGTCTCTGGAACTCAGTAAATGTTCACATCTTTCCTCCAGAACACTCTATAGATGACTGATCGAGGGAAGAATTGGTCCAGTTTGTTGAATTTAAAATATTCATCTACATTTTGAATTTGTTTATTTCAGCACAGTGGGGTGCTTATCCCTTAGGGGTTTCCAAATAGGAGGCAGAAGTTTGCAGTTTATTGGTGAAAAATTCACTTAAATATATCCCAGATAATTATCTAGCTCTGTCAGTCTGAGCATAGCCCTTCCTTTACTTACTTTCTTATACATCTGTTAAACTATTAAAATAATTATTTGAGCTGTTCTCTTTTTAACCAAGAGGATGCTATTGTGTCAAAATCATTGACTGAAAATGTAATTCCCTGTAAAATATACCTGGTCCATCCCTATTTTTACTTGCTAGAAATTGATCTACAAAGACGAAGGCTGAACAGTTTATGGACACAGCCATTTCCTAGGGATAATTACTGGCTGTTACCTTAGTGTTTAATGTGTTAAGAATATTAAGTCTTCTCTGGAAATTCATGTTAATCATGCTTGAAACATCATATTGTGTTTAAAAAGTAAAAGGGTTACTATAGAGTAGCTTTGAAACTTATAGTATCTTCATTTGCTTTAATAAAATTATCTCATTGAATTATTAATCAGGAAGTGCTAATATGAACATAGAAAAAGAATCATATTTTAGAAGTGACTGCTCAGTCTGTTTTATTTCCTTCTAAGAACACCAATATTCACACTAGAACACAAGTAAACTGTGACATATAATCTCACAATGGCATGACCCATCCTGAGCTATTCAGTCAGTGATTGGATCTAATTCCTGTGAAAAGTCTTAGCTTAGAACTTCATTATAAACAATAGTCATTTTGGAACATGTAAAAACTAGACAAAGTGTTTCATTACAAGGTGACATGCTCTGTTATTGAGGAAAGGGAAGTTTCTAGTTTTAAGGCCCGTGTATCTGTCTTGGCTCTTGACTCTGTCGAAAGCTGGTGATCTGCAGTGGTCCAGTAAAGAAAAGTCAAGCCAGCATCCTCAGGAATTTAGAGCTGATTTCTATAGGAGCAAGTTAACTGTAGTTCCTCTCTACTATTAGCAAAGACTCCTGGGAATTGACTGATACACAAAGAAAGCTGAGGTTCGCTTATCAGGTGAACATTTGTTCTTCCAGGTTCCTCCGAAAATCTTTCTAGTTTTACTTTTATTCAAGCTGGTTCATTCTCTGCTTTTCCTCCATGCCCTGTGCTTTGTGTTCTTGATTGCAAATTTGCATGCTGAAACCAATCTTCATCAACCTTCTGAAAACAGCACTGCACTTGGGATCATATAAAATAAGATCTTTCTTGACTCCCAAGCAGGATCCTAAATTGACCCTAACAAAGTGTTTTATTTATTTATTTTTTTTGAGACAGGGTCTTGCTTTGTTGCCCAGGCTGGTCTTCAACTCCTGGGCTCAAGGAATCCTCCTGCCTAGGCCTCCCAAAGTGTTGGGATTATAGGCATGGGGCGCCACATCTGGCCCAATAAGTCTTGAGGATATTAAGATGATGATCTCAGGTATCTGTGAAGTTAATATGAGAGGGCTCAAATGTCTGCATTTCTATAAGCCTTCTGAAATTGGTAACAATATGATTGGATATTAATATGTGGATTCAGCTACTAAGGGTAGGACTGACATGCCTAATTGCATGACGTGGGAATCATCAATGTGATATAATTTTTTCTCATCTTGTAAATCAAAAAGAAGTGCCTTTTTCTTCTTTGCTTTGTAAGAGGAAAAGGGATACCACAAAACAAATGCAGCAGGCACAGGAAGCACTGTTTGTTGGGAAAAGTCACCCTCCAGGTTGGCAAGTGTATCACAGGCAGCATATCACACAGCATACAATGGTGTGGGTGGAGCCTCTGTGAATTCTCTTGAGGAAAGCCATATTAAAAGAAATGTGTCTATAGTTTTTGCCCATAATGAAATCAAAACTATGGGGTTTTGAATCCTGAACTAGGACTACACTCTATCAAGATACTATTGAAGAGCGTGGCACGCATTGTGTGTGACACTCAGGTCTCTTGACAGGAAAGTACTTGCTGCCTACCTTCAAAGACTGTTGGTTAGCTGATAGCCTCTATCTATGAGATCTTTGAAACAGAGGTAATGGTCTCCTAGGGGTGACCTCAAACCGGTGACTGAGCAAGGTAATATTTTGCTAATAGGCAGTCTTTGCTCTGGAGTTTCCCATCAGGCTGGCAAAGCACTCATCAGTTCTGAACTGCAGTTTGAGGGCAGCCTCAGCCCAATCCTGCTTCCTTTCTCTTTATCTTCACAAGTGTTATTTCCTAATAAACCATTTGCATTTCTATTCCATCTCTACATCTTCTTCCCAGCCATCGCAACTAGTTAAAAGAACTAAGGAAAAAAATGATTTATGTCTCACTTCTTGAAACCATGGAATAAGAAATTCTCCAAGTGCCTTAAGATAAAAACAGTCCATTCTTATAGCACAGAAATTGTATATGAAAGGATCTAATGTGGTTCTTGACAACTTCCTGTTATGTATGTCCCCGCCAGCATCTAGAGGATAATGTTTGACTCTGCTAGATCTTTGTGAAGTATCCCAGAATAAGATAGGCAAGAGGAGAACCATGTGTCTGGATCTATCTATTTCGAGAATAATCGTCTCCAATAACTGCTGTTCAAGGATTAATGTTGTGTTAGCCTGTAATTAATCCTTGTTGGTTTAACATTCTGTCATTCTCAAGAACATTTTTTTGTGATTCTTGTAATATTTTGGATTAAATTATTCTTCCACATAATTCGGTCAGTGTTATATCTATTTTATTTGTTTCTCTCTAACCACTATATTTACATCAATTTTCATATTCATGTTCACATCTATATTTTTGCTAGGCCTTACTTATTACTGCTGTTACTGATTATTATTATATTTTACAATTATTGTTATTAGTCTGATTACTAAATGGTCAGCCTAAATAGAGATACATGCACACACAGATGTACATATACATGAACCTCCAATTTGCAAAGTAATTTAAATCCTAGAATGGACTTTAAATCTTTATAATATAAAAATTTATCAATCTTTGATAGGTTGGAGGGTAATGCAATTTGTTTCTAAGTCTAAGAAAAATATTCACAGCCAAATAATTTAATAAACCCAGTATAGCATAATTGCTACCACAAATGAGATGTTAAATCATAATTCAATCAATTATAAAGAAAGTAGTGGTCAGATGTATCATGTTTTATAATCAAAATTTAATTTAATTTTGGAGCATAAGTAAAATTAAGAAAAATTAAATGATTACAATGTACAAGGTTCATAATAAATGCTTTTATTAGATCATGAATTTCATTACCTCTTTGGTTAAATAATTAGATCATAAAGGTTACATATTAAATTCCATATTAAGATTCTACGAAATGCACCAGATCCCACTTCTCTGATACATGAAGGAAAAGAGTCTTGCCTGATAGAAAATGTATTGTAAATGTTAAAATTATTTACCAAGTTTCATTCTTTGACTGGAGATTTGAAATTGTTCCTTTAAGTAGACATTGGCCATAACCAAAGACTGTGGAAATCTCACAGGAATAAAATAATGTAAGGCTTATTCTATCATTTTTCCCTTCAAGCTCTTATAGGTCACTTGGTACATGTAACCTTATAACATCATTTGTATCTTAATATACAATTCTATCTTGAATATGATAGCAGTGCTCCATTAAGGTAAAGCATATGCCATGTATCAGGGCTTAGTAAAGTTCCCTGCTCTTAACAGAAAATTTGGGATGGTTATGGTCATTTTGATTATTTTTATTAGGACAATGTATTAATAAATTTTAGGTGAAGCCACTTAAACCTATTGTGGCTTAACCACAGAAAAATCAATTCTGTCCTAAATAGCACTGTATAAATTGTAGCCAATTTAAGTCACTGGAATTTTATTCATGATGGCTTCTATTACAGTTTTTAAGCTACAGCATTTATTCTTTCAATTCTTCAGATACTCTTTGAGTATCTATTATGCATTGATTATTGTGTCAGGCTCAGATGATTAAAAATACAAATCATCTATGGTTTCTGCCTCAATTTGCTGACAACCAGTTCATAAATGAGAGCAGTGTGATGCAATAAATGCTATAACTGATGTGTGGTACAGAAACCAAAGAGCCAGTGTGGGAGAGATGCATTGCAGTTGTCAGGATGGCAGTAAATGCAGCCAAGAGGGCAGATTTTTAGCAGTCCTAGAAAATAACCAGTTCAGATTAGTGAAAGAGGATGTTCTAAAAGGTAATCCAATAATAACATGGGAAATAAAAAAGGTACCTAAAATGTTTCTATATATTGAGATAAGTTTTACAGCTAGGTCACAAAGTTTTGGGATTAAATTATAATTGGGTCCATTAAAAAACTAGCATAGGTTGCATGTTCACTTTGATGATAGTTCTTTTGCTGTGCAGAAGCTCTTTAGTTTAATTAGATCTCATTTATCAATTTTGGCTTTTGTTGCCATTGCTTTTGGTGTTTTAGTCATGAAGTCTTTGCCCATGCCTATGTCCTGAATGGTATTGTCTAGGTTTTCTTCTAGGGTTTTTATGGTTTTGGGTCTTACGTTTAAGTCTTTAATCCATCTTGAGTTAATTTTTGTAAAAGGTGTAAGGAAGGGGTCCAGTTTCAGTTTTCTGCATATGGCTAGCCAGTTTTCCCAACCCTAATTATCAAATAGGGAATCCTTTCCCCATTGCTTGTTTTTGTCAGGTTTGTCAAAGATCAGATGTTTGTAGATGTGTGGCATTATTTCTGAGGGCTCTGTTCTGTTCCATTGGTCTATATATCTGTTTTTGTACCAGTACCATGCTGTTTTGGTTACTGTAGCCTTGTAGTATAGTTTGAAGTCAGGTAGCATGATGATTACAGAATGGGAGAAAATGTTTGCAATCTATCCATCTGACAAAGGGCTAATATCCAGAATCTACAAAGAACTTAAACAAATTTACAAGAAAAAAAAAACAACTCCATCAAAAAGTGGGCAAAGGATATGAACAGACACTTCTCAAAAGAAGGCATTTACACGGCCAACAAACATGAAAAAAAGCTCATCATCATTGGTCATTAGAAAAATGCAATCATTAAAAAGTCAGGAAACAACAGATGCTGGAGAGGATGTGGAGAATTAGGAATGCTTTTACACTGTTGGTGGAAGCGTAAATTAGTTCAGCCATTGTAGAAGACACTGTGGTGATTCCTCAAAGATCTAGAATTAAAAATACCATTTGACCCAGTAATCCCATTACTGGGTATATACCCAAAGGATTATAAATCATTCTACTATAAAGACACATGCACACGTATGTTTATTGCAGCACTGTTCACAATAGCAAAGAGTTGGAACCAACCCAAGTGCCCATCAATGATAGACTGAATAAAGAAAATGTGGCACATATACACCATGGAATACTATGCAGCTGTAAAAAAGGATGAGTTCATGTGCTATGCAGGGACATGGATGAAGCTGGAAACCATAATTCTCAGCAAACTAACACAGGAACAGAAAACCAACCACATGTTCTCACTCATAAGTGGGAGTTTAACAATGAGCGCATATGGACACAGGGAGGGGAACATCACACACTGGGGCCTGTCGTCGGGGGGTGGGAGGCTAGGGGAGGGACAGCATTAGGAGAAATACTTAATGTAGATGAGGGGTTGATGGGTGCAGCAAACCACCATGGCACGTGTATACCTATGTAACAAACCTGCATGTTCTGCACATGTATCCCAGAACTTAAGGAAAAATAATAATAATAAAGCATAAAGTTTTTTAAAAAAAGAAAAACTATCATAGAAAAAAATAGGCACATTTTAACTTCAGTCAATATGAAAAGTTGGATAAAATGGAAAGTATAAATAGCACATACCATATCGTAAAATTTCTGAGAAAACCAAATATGTAGCAATTATTTTCCTTACCAGATTTTGTAACCAACTAAGTGAAAAATCAAATAATTCAGCAGACAGAATCCAAATTAACACCAGATAGTGAAATAAATGATCTCATACTTCAAGGTGCTTTTTGGTAGTGAAGCCAAGAATTAAACAGCATGACCCTTGCATTTCCAAGCAGCTCTGGATGGCGCATGCCTCTGCATCTTTTTGTTTTTTAGTGTAGACATTGTTGCTGTTGTTGTTAGAGCAGTTTTAAGTTCACAGCAGAATTCAGAGGAAGGTTCAGAGATTTCTCATATACTCCCTTTTCCCACACATTCATAGCCTCTCATGTTATGAATATCTCCCACCACACTGGTAAATTTGTGCGTAGAGAAAACTCTTTCTAACCGTTTTTCCTCTATTCTCACATCAGAACAATCAACAGAGAAGATTTCTTGACCAAACGTATGTGGGGATTTTCCCACACACCAAGAGCAGATACCAGCTGGGTGTCCTCTAATTCAGTTCTGAGACTATCCACCTGGAGACAGTGTCAGATACCACAGGTTGGGATCCTACAGATCACACAGTCTCCAAGACTTCCCCCACAAGCACACCAGTCCCAAGTTCGGCCCTCTGGAACTTCTGACCAACCAGCTCAAGTTGGGGTTCCCATTGACTCCCACTTTAGATGTGATTAATTTGCTGGAGTGGTTCACAGAACTCAGGGAAACACATCTACTGGTTTATTATAAAGGATACTGCAAAGGATACAGATGAACAGACATGTAGGGCAAGATACTTGGGAAGGGGTACAGAGCTCCCATACCCTCTTTGCACACATCACACTCCAGGAACCACCAAGTGTTCAGCTATCTAAAATCTCACTGAACCCTGTCTTCTTGGTTTTTTATGGAAACTTCATGACATCAGCATTCCTTCCCCCAGAGTATAGGGTAGGGTCCTCTCAGGGTAGGGTCTTAAGGCCCACATTCAGAAAGGTGGGGAAACATTAGAGAGAAAGGAGGGCAGGAGAAGATTATTGGCTTCCTACTGACGGCTGACATATCCAATATTATAACAAAAGTTGAGAACAAGGGCTATGGGAGTTATGAACCAAGAACTGTGCAAGAAAACAATACATATTGTAACACCACAATTTGTTACAATTGATGAACCTAGATTGATACACCATTATCACCCCAAGACCATAGTTTACAGTAGGGTTCACTCTTGGAATTATACTTTCTATGGGTTTTGGTAAATGTGTAATGACATATATTCACCATAACTATATCATACAGAACAGTTTCACTGTCCTAAAAATCCCTTGTGCTGCCTTACATAGTCTGATTTTGGTAACATGTTAAATATAAAATTACCGTATGGCTCAGCAATTCTACTTCTACAGACCTACTGAAGAAAAATAAAAACATATATCCATAAAAGGCATATTTGTTAATGCTTACAGAAGTAGTATTCATAATGGCCATAAACTAGAAATAATCCGAATGTCCATAAATAATAAACGGGTAAAACAAAATGTAGTCTATTTACCATATAATGCAATACTATTTACTAATAAAATAAACTGCAAATATAGGCTACAATGTAGATGAACCTCAAAAACATTTTACTAGGTGAAAGCAGCTATTGGTAGACATCTTCCCACGGGTCTGTTATGTTTGTGAATGGCTTCCAAGTAAATCCATGGTTGTTCTTTGTTCCAAGCTATTGGAAACAAGATGAAGAAAGAATGTTTAACTTTGCATAAGGTGTTTCCAGAAAGATTTTATAAGAGATGTGGCAATTGAATATAAGAAAAATAAATAAGTATATTGGGCAGGGAGTTTGAATATGTCAGGAGTCATTTTTCAGGGTAAAACTAAAATTATATAAAAGAGGCCAGGTGCGGTGTCTCATGCCTGTAATCCCAGCACTTTGGGAGGCCAAGGCAGGCAGGTCACCTGAGGTCAGAGTTCGAGACCAGCCTGGCCAACATGGTGAAACCCCGTCTGTACTAAAAATACAAAATTAGCCGGGCGTGTTGGTGGGCGCCTGCAATCCCAGCTACTCAGGAGGCTGAGGCAGGAGAATCGCTTGAACCTGGGAGGCAGAGGTTGAAGTAAGCTGAGATAGCGACACTGCACTCCAACCTGGGCTACAGAGTGAAACTCTCTCTCTCAAAAAAAAAAAAAAAATACATATACATATATATATATGACATCAGAATGGGTGAGGAAGAAGTGGTGGCCTTAATCTTATGATAGAAAGGGCAAGGGAGAAAGTTGGGAAGTAATGCTAAAGAAGGTAGTACCATCATTGGGCATAGGGGAGAAGTGGTCAGCTCTGGGTCAAGGGCTCTTTGAAGAAGGAAAATTAACCGACTTCCTGGGCCTGAGGGTCTATTTAGCTTAGACTGAGAAGCAGGGATATTCTCTATTGAATCTAAAGGCTGGCAGAAATCTGGCCATGCAGAGCAGCCAGGAGGGAACCCAAGAGCTTGCCTAGGTCTAGAATTGCACAGGGAGTTGGAGTTATTCTCTGTTGATTTCAACTTTTTCATTGTTATAAATCTTCAGTTCAATTGTTACTTCTATATAACAAAATAATAATAATGTTAATAACAAGTCAAAGTAAAAATGAAATAAAATTAAAAGGCTAATGACAAACTGAGGAGATATTTTCAAGATATATTAAAGGGTCTAATTTTCTCTATAAGAAGAAAAATATGAACAAGAAAGAAAATGGACGAAACACATGAAATGGCAATATATGTGTATCCATGCAAAACTAAAAGAAATGGCTAATAATCATGCAAAATAATTCTCACCCTGTTATAATTAGAAAACTATAAATTAAAACTTACATGTTAAGATTTTTTTCCTGGGATTTTTTTCCTGTGTTCATACACAGCTTGAAATCTGTGAAGATTTACAAAAATAAACATTTTTAAAGGAGTGTAAATATGTGTAAACATTTGGGAAGCAATTTATAGATATTTACCAAAGTTAAAAATATACAGATTCCTTAAGCCAATTAGTTTACATCTATTAATTTTGCCTACACACACACACACACACACACACACACACACACACACACACACTACCCAAACTTATGAGGCAGGAGAATACGGTCTGGAGAGAGTGGTGACAGGAAACCTAAGGCCAACTCCTAGCTGTCTTCTTGGAACTGGACTAAGGAAAACCCCACCCTGCTACCACCAAGTAATGAGGAGCCAAAGGGCCTTCCGTCTCCGAACCTCCCCCTACCCTGTGTCCTGAACGGGAATGGCTGTCTGTAATTGGCCCATTCTGTAACGTCATTTGCATGCATTTCATAGGTTGGATGCCTCTGATTTGTCCTGGGCAAAATCCTCCATTTGTATAGGGTGTGACCTATCCGAAACCTCTAAAGGGAACTTACGGGTGTCACTGTGCTTTTTTAATTCAATAAAATCCCCAAGGAACATTACAATTAGGGCTCTTGCGTGGCTCGCTCCAGCCTACTCCCACTCTGTGGGTGTACTTTTGCTTCAATAAATCTGCTTTCGTTGCTTTGTTCTTTTGTTGCTTTGTTTGTGCATTTTGTTCAAATTCTTTGTTCAGTGC
Source organism: Homo sapiens (assembly GCF_000001405.40). Classification (NCBI taxonomy): domain Eukaryota; kingdom Metazoa; phylum Chordata; class Mammalia; order Primates; family Hominidae; genus Homo; species Homo sapiens. The sequence continues at coordinate 57,513,527 of NC_000010.11, read as the reverse complement.
ACCAAGAAACTGGACAACGCACAGTCAACGCAAGTCAAGTCTTTAAATCCAGTAACACATACATGTAAAAAATATTTTGTAACATGTTTTGTAACATACTGATCCAATCAGCAAAGTTGCTGCTGCTCTTGTTTTAGACCCTAAGCGTCCACCTCCCTCATGGACATGTGGCCCCTGAAAACAGCAGCCACTGTTAGGTAGCAGCCAAGGCGGGGGTCGGAGGCAGCCGTTACGTTCTTGGAGTCAAAAATCTGCTGGGTGAGCTCAGCCACCATCAGTGCCTAGTAATGCCGGTTGTCCTAGCTGATCAGTAGGGTAAAACCAGGCATAAAGAAGTACAGATAAAGGAATGTGGGAATAACTGAAGCCAACACATAATGAAACCATTCTAATTCCGATATAAAATATTTGTATTTTCTGAGATCTAAAAAAGTCCAAGATGCTTGGCAATTAAAAAAAAGCAAGTTGCAAAGAGATATATAAAACATGATCATATTAACTTAAAGAAAGGAAATGATGTAACTGGCTTAACAGGTACTTAAACTTTTCATAGTTTACTTTGGGAAACTAATATTTTGACACTGGAAAATGGGCAGATAGACGGTGCTTTATAGTTTTGTTTTACTGACTTCCTTGTTGATATTTTTCTACAGTAAACACATATTAATTACATTAATGTTATTAGTAATAATAAGGTGTCATAGAATTTCTGCTGTTCTGTGACGAACTCAATGGAGCAGTACGCAGGGCTTGGAAAGAAAGACAAGAGATCAGTATTTCCTCTTTGAGGTCTCAGCTTTGTTGTGAGAAATGCTCACGGGCAGACAACAGCTGTAGCTAGCAAAAAAGTGGTCTTACTGGATCAGCGTCTGAAAACACTGCCATTTATGGCATGATAGGTGGGCTATGTTAGAATTGCATGTGCATTTTTTGGAACCCCTCTGAGGCAAACAGACCAGATACTATTTAGTGAAAAGTCAATCTATAGCTGTTGGTATTCACATTTAAATGGGGTTGCTCTGTCCACATGCTAGTGATATAAAGATATACGGATATTTCCCCAGGAATAGTGACAGATGGCAAAAAGTAAGACTGAAGACTTCCACATGATGAAGATCACTACTAAATAGTGGTGTAGAAGATTCGAATTAGCAACATGGTTTAGAAATGGAAGAATCGTTTGTCTGGAGGTAGCAATGGTAGAGAGATCACAGTCAAACAGATGAAGATTGGATAGGATGACAAAGTTGGATATAGAGTTCATTTTATGTAGGAATTTATTTTGAAACCCAAGGCAAGGCAGAGCAGGAAGAAAGGCAGTTTTCTAGCAAGTGTAGCTTACAAGGACATAGAACCCATTTAGTCTCCAAGGAAATTTTGATTTGAGACATTCCTCTCATTTTTACTTCTTCTAGGCTCCTAGAGTAGATCCATGAAGAACACTCAGAATCTTCTGCTGAACTGCCACATATTTAGCACATTACAAGACTTATCTTCAGGAGAGAAGCAGTAACACAGTACCTATTTCAAAGTTACATTGGAAATGAATATCTGAATTTTCATTCATTTTGAAGAAAAATGAAGTAATTATGTTGGTGGAATGTGATAAAAAGAAAGAATATGTTGACATCTTCAAAGATAGCAAAAAGCATGTTTATCAAAGAATTATTAACCTTGGTTCAGTTTTCTACATAAATCTCTGCACACAATAGCTATTTCTCCTTGCAAAGTATTAAAATGGAGTTAATTTTCAAATATTCTTATAGGAACTTCAAAGGAATTAGTAAATTCAGAATATGACCAGCTTCAAATGCACAAACTAAGGTTTCAGATCCATAACCAAAGCATGAAAGCCTTACAGAATGCAGAGGAAACACCTACCTTGAGTTCTTTCCAGACTATATTCTTACACTTTCTCACCATTATGCCCCCTTTTGGCGTTCAATGTCATATTTAAATTGACTCTAAACTAATGGAGAAGCAGAGTTTTTCCCTATACTACTTTAGTGCCTCTTTACATGGCTTGTCAGGTTTAGGCTCATAAGTTAAGTTTAATTAATTTAACTTTAACCCTCCACAATCTGAAATGAAGTAGGAAAGCAGAAAAGAAATAATATTTTGAGGTTTGAGTAAAATTACACTTCTTCACAATTAATATGTTATTGTATTTTTATTTTTAATAAATGTGGAAAGATGTTAAGGGAAAAACAGGTATAATAAATAAATAGTAAAACTTATAATACAAGCATTTAAGAATTTGGAAAATGAATAAAATCAAGCAGCACATTAGAAAGTTAATTCATGATTATCAGGTAGGCTTTTTTCCTGGTATACAGTGCTAGTTCAAAATATGCAGATCAATAAATGTGATTCACCACATAAACAGAATTAAAACAAAAACCATACAATCATCTTAACAGAAACAAGGCTACAGAAAAAAGTTCTGGTAAAATCTGATATCTCTTTATGATAAAAATCCTCAACAAAGTAGGAATCAGAGGAACATATCTCAAAATAATAAGAGCCATCTATGACAAACCTACAGTCAACATCATACTGAACAGGTGAAAGCTGGAAGCATTCCCCTTAAGGGGAGCAAGACAAGGATACCCACTGTCACCACTCCTATTCAACATAGTACTGGAAGTCCTAGCCAGAGCAATCAGGCAAGAGAAAGAAAGAAAGAGCATCTAAATAGAAAATGAAGTCAAATTATCTCTTTTCACTGGTGATATGATTCTATACCTAGAAAACCTGAAAGACTCTGCCAAGACTCCTAGAGGCAATAAACAACTTCAGTAAAGTTTCAGAATACAAAATCAATGTACAAAAATCAGTAGCATTTCTACATACCATTAACATTCAAGATGAGAGCCAAATCAGGAATGCAATACCGTTTATAATAGCTACAAAGATTAAAGTACCCAGGAATACATCTAACAAAGGAGGTGAAAGATCTCTATAAGGAGAACTAAAAAACAATACTGAAAGAAATCATAGATGATAAAAACAAGTGGAAAAATATCCCATGCTCATAGATTGGTAGAAAAATATCATTAAAATGGTAATACTGCCCAAAGGAGTCTACAGATTCAACATTATTCCTATCAAACTACGAATGTCACTTTTCAAAAAATTTGAAAAAACTATTCTAAAATTTAGTTGGAACCAAAAACGAGCCCAAATAGTCAAAACAATCCTAAGCAAAAAGGACAAAGCTGGAGGCATCACACTACCTGACTTCAAACTGTACTACGAGGATATAGTAACCAAAACAGCATGGTACTGATAAAAAAACAGATGCATAGACCAATGGAATATGACAAAGAATACAGAAATCACACACCTATGGCTCTCCAGTCTTCCACAAAGCCAATAGCAACAAACAATCGGCAAAGGACTCCCTATTTAATAAATGGTGTTGGGATAACTGGCTAACCGTATGCAGAAGAATGAACCTGGACCCCTATCTTTCACCATATACTCAAATTAACTCAAGATGGATTAAAGACTTAAATGTAAAAGCTTAAATTATAAAAACTAGAAGGAAACCTAGGAAATACCGTCCTAGACATCAGCATTGGAAAAGTATGTATGACTAAGTCCCCAAAAGCAATTGTAACGAAAATTGACAAGTGCTTCCTAAGTAAATTAAAGAGCTTCTGCACAGCATAATAAACTATCAACACATTAAACAGACAAACTGCAGAATAGGAGGAAATATTCACAAACTATGCATCCAATAGAGGTCTAATATCCAGAATCTGTAAGAAACTTAAGCAGTTCCACCACAAAACAAATTGTCCCATTAAGAATGGGTAAAGGGCATAAATAGACACTTCTCAAAAGAAGACATACATTTATTTATTGGTCAACAAATAAATAAACATATGCTGGCCAGGTGTGGTGGCTCACACTTGTAATTCCAGCACTTTGGGAGGCTGAGGCGGGCGGATCATGAGGTCAAGAGATTGAGACCATCCTGTCCAACATGGTGAAACCCCATCTCTACTAAAAATACAAAAATTAGCTGGGTGTGCTGGTACATGCCTGTAGTCCCAGCTACTCGGGAGGCTGAGGCAGGAGAATCACTTGAACCCGGGAGGTGGAGGTTGCAATGAGCCAAGATTGCGCCACTGCACTCCAGCCTGGTGACAGAGTGACACTCCAACTCAAAAAAAAAAAAAAAAAAGAAAGAAAGAAAGAAAGAAAAAAGAAAAGAAAGAAATAGAAATGCTGAATATCACTAATCATTAGAGAAAAGCAAATCAAAACTACAATGAGATAGTATCTCGCACCAGTCAGAATGGCTATTATTAAAATGTAAAAAAATTGCAGATGTTGGTGAGGCTGCAGAGAAAAGGGAATACTTGTACACTACTGGTGGAGATGCAAATTAGCTCAGCCACTGTGGAAAGCAGTTTGGAGATTTCTCAAATAACTTAAAACAGAACTAGTATTTGACCCAGCAAACCAGTTACTGAGTACATACCCAAAGGAAAATAAGTGATTCTAGAAAAAAGACACATGCATTTGTATCTTCATTGCAGCAATATTAACAATAAAAATACATAAACTCCACTTAGATGCCCATTAACGGTCTACTTGGTAAATAAAATGTGGTACCTATACACTATGGAATACTATGAAGTCATTAAAAAAAGAAAGAAATCATATTATTCGCAGTGACATGGATGCAGCTGAAGGCCATTATCCTAGGTGAATTAACACAGGGACAGAAAACCAAATGTCATATGTTCTTACTTATAAGTGGAAACCGTGCATTACAAGTACACATAGACATAAAGATGGGAACAAGAGACACTGCGATCTACTAGAGGAGTGAAGGTAGAAGGGAGGTATGGGTTGAAAAACTACTGGGTGCTATACTGACTACCTGAGTGACAGGATTATTTGTACACCAAACCTCAGTGTCACACAATTTACCAATGGAACAAACCTGCACACATAACCCCTGAACTTAAAGTAGAAGATGAAAAAAGGAATTTGGAATGTACTAAATAACTAATTTATTAAATATTTTCCTCAGATATATCCCTGTATTATATAATCTCTTGAAGATACTGTTTTTAAAACAGTATACTCACTTGATCAACTCAAAGAACTTTGACTACCTGGATTTTCACTGTTGAATTTATATGAGTATCCAGTGCCTTAATAGCTGTATGTATCATGAATTATACAGGTCAATTTTCCCCATTATCGGGGTTGGGGAGTAATTGGCAGTATATATATATATTGTTTTACTTTCTCCATTTGTGGATCTTCTTTTAAACTGGAGATAGAGATGGCCTTTGCACAGGAAAACTAAGTAGTGTCATAGGATCCTTAGGGTGTCACTTTTCCAGCCAGAAACCTGTGTGGCTGGTGGCACCTCTGCCTAAGTTTTGCTCAGATTCTCTGGACTTGTTCCGTCCGCTTGGCCTGGCAGGCTGCACTCGGCTTGGGCTACCAGCCCAGATCCCACACCTGCCAAGGGCAAGCCAGGCACGCAATGGCAAGGAGTGTATGAGCAAGCAAGCATGGGGTCCAGCCACTGTGCACAGCCAGGCATGCCAGCTACTTCAGCAGGGCAAGTAGTTCCAGGCACCAGCACAGATGCCGGCTCAGGTGCTGGCTCTGTGCAAGGCTGCAGCTGGATCCAAGCTACTGCAAGCAGCTTCCACTGCAGGCTCCCAGATCTGGACAAGGGGAATGTGGTGGTGCTCAGGAGCTTGGAGATGCCAGGAACCACAGAGCTCCTAAGAGGGTGTCACAGCCCTGGCTTTGGGAGCCCATATGTCTGTGTTCTCTGAAGGGTCACAGCTCTTCTTTCCTTCTCATTGCCCACAACATGGTGAGCAGGGGTGGAGGGGGTGTATTTCAGCCCTATTTTTTTTACAGCTCTTTCAGTTCCGCCATTCTGTAGGTTCCAAGTTCTTGTCCCATATCCAGGAAGAATGAGGTACTCAGACAACTGGAGGGTGAGCAAGGTAGAGAGAAGCTTCACTGAGGGTCAGAACAGCTCTTAGGAGACCCGAAGTGGGTAGCTCCTTTCTGCAGGCAGGCCATCCCGATGAGCGTCCAGCTCTCAGCAGAGAGGAGACCTATAGTGTGTAGCTCCTTTCTGCGGGTATGTCATCCTGATGAGTGTGCAGCTCCACTCTGATGAGTGTCCAGCTCTCAGTGGAGAGGAGACCCATAGGGGGTAGTTCCTTTCTGAAGGCAGGTCATCCTGAGGAGTGTCTTAGTCTGGCTGAATCTGGGGTTTTTATGTTCTCAAAACGGAGGAAGTGTGTGCTGACTGATCCATAGGCAGCCATGGGAGGGCCTGGAAAAAGCACCATCTGATTGGCCAAATGGTCATCAATGAAGTTCTCACTCCAGGCTGCAACTTCACCCAGAACTGGCAGCCTGGCCCCAATGGTTTAGGCCATCCCTGGCTTGAAGGTGGGGTTTCACTGGGAACCTGTCCCTTCCCACCTAGGAATCTGTCTGCCTCCTCCATTAACATGCCATCCACAGTGCTAAGACTGTCTGCAATGAGGGGTGCCTGCAGGTCCCCACTGATCCACCTTCAGCACCCCCGGCCTCTCTCCCACGCTTGTTGGTGTCCAAAGTCAGGAGGCGGCTGAGGTAGCAGGGGGCTGGTGTGTCAGGGCTGCCCTGAGTGCACGCATACTCAGTGGGTAGTGACATCACCTGGGTTCAGCCACAACTTTGCATTCGCCCTGGAGTGGGTGCCAGGAGTGGAGAGAAGCCAGAAAATGGAATGAGGCACTTTCAAGCCTATGGGGGTAGGGAGCTTCCTGGATCCCTGAGAGTGCGGAGCCTCTGCTAGGCGGTTCTGGCTGTGCCCAAGAGTGCAGGCTCCTACCCTGCCAACTCCATAGTGGGCGGGCTCTCACCTGTACCTGGCTCCCACCAGCTCCATGGAGCGTGCAGCCCTGGCTGCTCCTCCCTTGCTGCAGCTGGCGTCTCTGCAGTATCTGCTCCAGGTGGGCTGCCACCATCATCAGCAACACCTTTTGTACTCACATTTGAGTAATGTCCTTCAAACATATGTCCTATACCCTACAGCTAGAATCCAAAAGTTCCTCTTCAATGAGTTGTTCTGCTATAGAGAAATGTTTTTACTTAAAATAAGTTAGTGTATTCAAAGAAAAAACAATACTTTAGTAGTCTCCTGAGGAAATGATATACATAATAGGCACATTTTCACATGTGAGGTGGAGAAGGCCTGCAGGTGTGGTATGGAGAATGGCAGGAAGATTAGAGAAGGGAATTGAAAGAAGGAGTAAAAGAGGGAGAGAGAGGAGCAGCACATCAGTAGTGGAGCTGTGGAGTCTGAAAGTAGGAACAACTGAATTCAAATCCTGCCTCCAATGTAGTACCATTGGGCAATTGCATTTTAGTAAAATGGGAGAAAATATGAGATAAATGGTAAAAGTCACAGATTCTTTGTAATAGAAAGGCTTGAGCCAAGACGTCTAATTCAGAAAAAAATGCAAAATTCTTAAATCATTCCTCTTTAATGTCTTAATGTCTTTTTTACTAATATGTGACTTAATATACATGATTTTGTTCATCTGACTTCTCACCATTTTTTAACAAGCTTGCCACATGATAGCAATCTAGAAACATACTTCTTATAGTTTCCATTTCTAGAACAGCCCATCCAATTGGCTACAGGTACCAAAGACATGAGATGTAGTTTTTTTAATATCTGGTAAAGTAGCAAAGGCATTTTTCTGTATTTTTATTGCAAAAATATTTCTTGTCTCATTAGCTATGTTTATGCAATGCTCCATGAATCTCAGGTAAATTTGCCCTCGAGACACTCCCTGCCTTCCTAATAAAAGTTGATTTTCTGTTTGAGTGCTAATGGAAGTAACATTTTCAAAGACTTTTCTCAAGTGCTATGCAATAACTGTTTCAAAATGCATGGAAAACTTTGCTGTTTCCAACAACAGATGTTTTTTATTTTGATTTTCCATTTGTTCAATGGTTCTGAGATGTCTCCATCTCAATTACGGGAAGATATTGTCCATATTAATTATATGCTTAAAGAAATTTTCTTTTTTTCTTTATTAACTATGCTATTTTGTGCATCAGAGTAAGATTGGTTGAGCCACACAGAACTTTTGTGTTTGATATATAGGGTCACTAGAGCTTGATGAGCCACAAACAAAAGACTTTTTTGTTTCATTTTTGAGTTGTATACTTAATTATTTATTGTGGTATCGAAAATAGTGAAACTCATAGAATCAGAGAGTAGAATTGTGGGCTGGGGGTGGGGGAATGAGGGAGTTGCTAATCAATAGGCATAAAGTTTCAGCAGGCAAGATCAGTAAGTTCTAAAGATCTGCTGTACAACAGTATCATTATAGTTAACAATAGTGCATTGTACACTTAAAATATAAGTGGGTAAATTTCACACACTTTTGCTCATCATACCTTCACTTTTCTTAAATTTGCTTTTTCTAAACTACAGAAATTCTTGCCTTTCATAGTAAAAACCATTTTATTATGATCCCCAAATCTTACTCTTGTTCCGTCAGAAGCTTGAAACCCCTTTTATCACATAACTTGAATCAGATTACCCTGGCATCAAGTCAAAGGATATTTGAATAATATTATCTTGTGATATTCCCAAAAGGCACAGACTGCCAACTGCTCAGAATTAAGTCAAGAAACCCTTCTTATCATATGTTCTAGGGTAAGTTCAGACAACCTGTAACTTTCTCTGACAGTTCAGAGCATGAATATTATTGTTTCAGAGTTTGATCTTTGTTTGGGACTCCAGTGATTTATTCTAACACTCTCTTTTCTGTTTGCCTGTGGGAAATCTCAGTGACCTCTCCAGCAAGCTCTAGTTCTTGAAGAATGTATGCAGAAAGATGTTGCTATTTTTGTTCATACTTTGTTACTTCAATTTTAAGATTTAATTATAATCTGCATTATAGAATAATAAAATATTAAAAGAGACTCTAGATATAATTTCATCCAATAGTTTTATTGAATAAAACATCCAATTTAGGCCCAAAAAGATTAAGGGGAATTGCTCAGGATCAGAGAGCTGGTTATCATCAGGTTTAGGTTAATGATCACTGGCCTCCTAAAAGTCAGGATACTTACTGTTTATCCCACTGAAACCTGCTTTTCACTCTAAGCAGACTTTTATCATGCTTAGACAACTATTTTGCACTGACTGTTGTTTTTTGTGAGTGCAGGCAAATATATAGGATAATGCAAAAGCCAGAAACACATTCTTTGACTTCAAACTGAAAATAAAAAGTACAGTCTTCTTTCATGAGCGTTTTTGCACAACTTTGGATTTTTATAGGGTGGCTCTCAAAGTGTCTGCACTTAAAACATTGTCTATCATCATTCTTTCACCACTGGGAAATCATTTCAAACATTACATGTATCAAAAATAAAATCAGATCAAATCAGAAAAAAAATAAAGTTTATTGTATGTACAAAATAACAGTTCATGAATTGGGAAACCACAAACTAAGAGTGGTAAGAAGTTGCCTTACAACAGTTACAACACAGTTTATAAAGCTCAAAGGAGAAAGTATTTTGATCTCTTTTATTATTGGCTGTTATACATTAATATATTTTTTAAGGCAAACAACTGCTTAAGTTGATTTCTCTATAGCCAATTCATTTAATTTTACTGAATCATGCTGCTGAGGAAGTAAAGCTTACATTTTTCCTTTTGTTTATGATTAGACCTAGCATTTTGGAGAAGTCAAGAAGACTTGTTTTGATTATGTAGTTATTGGTGGTTGGCTTTGAAGTATATATAAAGTGTGATCTGCATTTTTATTGTTTTACAAATGCAATGATTGTTTGCATTGTTGTGTGTAGTTGTTTTTATTGTTTATTGCATCTTTAACACACGATGCAAAATGAAACCATTGCATGTGTGTGTGTTTGGTTCTGGTAGTAGTCATGCGTCAAGGAGGGAGTACATAATCCAAGTATAACCTCTGAACACTTAATAGTTACTTTTCAAGTTGTGTTTACAGAAATACGTAAGGCCTGGGAAAGGCCATGGAATACACCGTTCGTAAAAGAACACATGCAAAATTAATACCTTTGTGTTAATATGTGTACATATAAAACAACTTCTGCATACGAGATATAAAACAAACATTAATTGATGTTTTTAAAAGCAAAAATCAATGTCAGTCGATGGCAATGCTTCTCAACAGGGAAGGGGGATGAATTTCCCTAGAGAACATTTGCCCATATCCAGAAATATTTTTGGTCGTCACAGCTGTGAGTGTGGTGGAGGGTTAATGGCATCTAATGAGTAGAAGCAGGGATTCTGTTAAACATGCTACCATGCACAGGACAGCTTCTGTAACAATAAATTATCCAACCCTAATTCTCAATAAATGCCTAGGTTGAGCAAATCCTGGTTTATATTAGCTGAGTTTCTTTGATAAAAAGAAATTAGCAAGGTAGACCATACAAGGAAGCAGTCTACGGCATATCCACAGAAACCCCCCACCTGAAATTCTTACTAATAAATGTGTTTACTTATTAAAAGAATATTATCTGTTTTGTTATTTTAGCTACTGAAAGTTATCTTTGTTAGAGTCACACTGTATGATCTAGAAGTTGCCTCCTCTATTTGTGTAATCCTGGTTATAAAGATATAGTGTAGTGGAGAGATACAAATTGGTAAGTGCATTTTAAAGAACCACTGATGATTCATTTGCTTTACTGTTTATCATTTTGCCGTGAAGTTTATAATAAATTTGTGTATGTATGTGAATATACTTTACAAATGTACATGAACATGGCATTTGAAATCTAAAATCCAGATCCCACAGAAGCTCCAAGGAAATTAGCTATGTTTTCTATAATGATGTTAACCTATACAAATTGAAGTAAATAATACAAAAGAAAATGAACAACCAAAAGTTCCTCAAAACAAACGTAACGATACGATTTTTTCAGACATCAATACTGAAAACTAAAATCTAAATTACTCAAAGTTCAAGGAGCAAAGTATATCAATGAAGTAGGGTCATTATTTGATTGAATTATAAATAACAGAAGTATACATTTTTTCAGGGCCTAGAGTTTAAGTCCCAAGAGTTTCACTTAAGGATTAGGATAAGAACAATGATAAGAGCAATACTTACACATGCCATTAGTATTGTGGTATAATGAAGAATATATCTAGTTTGTGTCCAGGGCTCAGGGTTTCACTCTTGAAATTACCTTAGTGATGGGAAGGTTTTTATTATAGTAATGACTTGACTCTTGGTAGGTCCTTAGATAGCTTCAGGATGGGAGCTGTCACCAAAAAGCCCAACTACAATATTGAAAAGTTCGAACGTGGGGTCAGCTTGACCACTGGGGAAAAGAGGGAGGCTGGAGATTGTGCTCCACCACATGGTCATTGATTTAATCGATCTTGACCATGTAATAAAAACCCAAATAACTCTCTGGACTCAGGCTCCTTAGAGCTTCCTGGTTGGTGAGGGCACAAATATTCTGGAGGGTAACATGCCCTGGCTCCCTAGGGAAAAGTATGGGAAACTCTGTTTCTGGGACGCTACCAGTCCTTGCCCTAGGTTTATCCTTTATAATAAAACTATAATTGTAATCATGGTACTTGTTGAGTTTTGTAAGTTGTTTAAGTGAATTATTGAACTTCAGAAGATTACAGGAATTCACAAATTTGTAGCTGCTTTTTCAGAAATGTGGGTGGCCTGGAGATCCAAGTTGCAGGTGTTACTAATGATGGGTTCTTGGGCTTTTAATGCCATAGAAATTGGCATAAGGCTGAAAGCATTCTCCCAGACAAGGCTTCATTGGAGCTTATGCCTGGACATAAGGGAAGCAGCGAGAGAGAGAGAGAGAGAGAGAGAGAGAGAGAGAGTTCCCTGATTGACTCTCTGAAAAAAGCTGGTAGGACTTTTATTAGGCAAAGCACAGAAATTGACATCAGGGTTAGGGTATGTGGGTTGGGCTGGGAAAAGCAAATGATGGGTAGAGTATACAGGGCAGTATTATCTGGTTGTGACGGTTATATTGAGTAGTGATTCACCTGGTGGTCTGGTCTGCGGCAACAAGGTCATAAATAAATTGCTCAGAATTCCTTCCCTAGGTTGGACACTCCACAGCTTTGATTACCTCCTAAGGCCAGTTCATGGAATTCTTTAAGTAAAAGAAGTATCAGCAGTGAGGTAGTGGTATGGTTATTGTGATCAGTGGGATTGCTTTAAAGGGGGTGAGCTGAAGCAAAGCTTCATTCCTACTCTATGTCATTCCCCCCTGTGAGATTTCACCTTCCTTATTCTTAAAGATAAAGAGCTGAATATGTCATCTTCTAAAGCTACTTTCTGAACAGGGTTATCATCTCTGCCTAAACTTGTAGGGTGTGGAAAACTCTCAGTGACTGTTGTGAATACCTGTAGGGACTTGAAACTGTTGAAGCCTCGAAGACATAAACTTTAACTGTCTGCACCCCTGTTGAATAGAACAAATAATTTTTTTAGAAAAAATCAAGTAGCACGCAGTGATAATTAATAAAATGCTTAAGCCTAATTTAATAATGCTTATAAGAAGAGATCTGATGCCATTTGCAAACTAAGTGAATAGGCTAGAAAATAAGTCTCCTGTGTTTGAAATATAAGGCAAACACTTTTAATGAAAAGCATTTCTATGGAAACAGAAGAAAAACAGACATTAATGGTGCACATAATCTATCCAGATGTTAGACTCAAAACATCTTTTGTTACAGAGGAGAAAAACAGTGGTAATATGACACATTTTTCTCACCTGTGTCACAAGGAATAACTTTACCTTGTACAACCTCAGAAAAAAAGGAAGTCAGAATTCTGAGTTCAAGTCAGAAAAATTGAAGAAAAATTTTAAAACATTAGCGCGGATAGGATTTGAGATTCAGTCCAAATTGTAGAAAGTAATATTTTTAAAACACCTCAAAAACAATGAACAAGACTAGAATCTAGTAGCAGGTCTATTATAATCTTTCTGTCTCCAGTCTCTCATTTTTATCAAAGATAAAATATATTAAGACCAATTTGTTTGCTAAATAAGTTTTAGTCTTTTTTTACTTGCCTGATTATTAGCATAAAGTATAGGAAGAATAATTATTTGCTATATAGGCTTTTTATTTTTTTAATCGGCTTTGCTGGAACTTTGTTCCATAATGAAACTCAGATTAGACTTTTTAAAGCCTCAAGCCCAGCCGTGAATTTATCTGTTCCTGCAAATACCTGTATGAGTTGGGCTATTTTCCATACTCTGGATTTCTCAAGAGTATGGAAATTACTTACCACAGGTTAGGAATTCTGTACAGGGACTGCATAGACAAAGTATGAGGCCAATTTCCCCAAGGGTCTTTTATTGGCTTTATAAGTCAACTTTGATTTCTTAAAACAGTCTGATTATATCTGAAAGCATGTCATTTCAGTCAAGGCTTGGTAAAATAACCAGTGTCTCCAAATGTGTCCTATTACAAGAGAAAACAGATTCTTGTTGCATATATGCAAATAACTAAATTGCTGTAAGTTAGGTATACTCACAAATAGTTTCCAAATTCTGGAGAAATGAGGCAGAGAAAAAGAAATATGCTCCAAGTTTTGCTCACAGGAGTGTATTTTACTCCATGGTTAACATCTGTAAGCAGCTAAAAAGGAAAAAGTTTTATTGACTCTGAAAAACAGAAAGGATCAACAATGTTTCAAACAAAATATCCTGAGTATTATCTCAATATTCTGTTAGTTCAGTCCATGTAATTAACTTCTGTTCTGCTTGATATTTATTAACACATTAGCTTTCCAAGAGAATCTTGGAAGTTTTTTTATCTATCCTAATCCCAATTTCCAAAGTTATTAGAGACCTGCATTCAATAGTGCCTATCAGAATTCTATAGCTGGTTATAAACTGTCTTTTGAAAAGTATTAAAACAAGATGACAAATGTCTGTCTGTGCATAACAAAAGTCTTAGGATAGCCACAGTTAAAGACTCAGTCAACAAGGAGACATGTTCGTCTCAGCAGTATACAATAATTTAACAGAAAAATTCTAATTATTATTGATAACATATACTGAGACATATTAGAGTTATAGGAATCTTATATAATTTTGTAATACATACTAATAACATATGAATATAACCCAAAGAAAATTTAAAACTGTTTTATATTTGACAATGTTTCCTATATGGTTTTTAAAGTTATTATTATATTTTAAATTCCAAGACACATGTACAGAATGCACAGGTTTTTTACATAGGTAAACATGAGCCATGGTGGATTGCTGCGCCTATCAACCCATCACCTAGGTATTAAGCCCAGCATGCATTAGCTATTTTTTCTGATAATCTCCCTCCCTCTGCCCACCCTCTATCCTAGATAGGCCCCACTATGTGGTTTTAATATATCAAAGAATTACCAAAATGCTTAAGCCTAGTTAAATAATACTTTTAAGAAGAGATCTGATGCCATTTGGAATCTAAGTGAATAGCCTGAAAAAACAGCTCTCTTGCGTTTGAGAAATTTACAGCTAGGAAACTCTAAATTTGAATTTCTAAAGGGACAACTCTTACATGAAATAAGATAGAGAATTTGTATTTTATTCAAACCAAGGAAACATGGTGTGAGTAAAAGTTCAGCCAAGATTATATGGCCAGGTATAGCAGACACACTTACACATGGAGATTTCCTTAAAGATGTAAATATTTCAACTGAATTATTGGCTTTGGGGTGGAGCCTTTTAAGGAACAGTCCAAATGTGTCTCTTAGACTTCAGGTGACCTAATATCTAAAAAGCTTAATCAAGTCAAAAAAGCCTTAATTTAGAATTTGATTTTGGAAAGTTTGTCAAGTATCAAAGGTTTAAAATGCTTTATATCACAAAATAGGACCACAGTTTGTTTATTTAGCTGAAATGATTTATTCAAGTATTTTGATAAAGCAAAAATCTTTGGTCTTTATTAAAGAGGAGACTCAGCTTTTCAAACAAGACTCACTAAAGACAGTATGAGGCCAGATGAATCTGTTTCTTCTCCCTTGCTTTTACCTGTAGGCAAACCAAAATCTTGTTTAAAAGAGAAAAACTATTTTTACCTTTGCATTAGTGTATTAATGCTAAAGCTAATTTTAATATAATTTTATAAACAAATTTGTCCAATTTTAACCAGTTTGACCATAAGAAAATTTTTTTTCAACTAACAGAGTAGAGATTTATTATATACTAAGATCTTAAAACATGCTTTTTAAATCATGATAACCAAAATATGACATAGATTTTGCTATCCTAGTTTTACAGTTGAACAAACTGTAATAGATAGATCACAAATTTTGTGTAGTTTGTCAATACATACAGGGCAAGGTTTTAGATGCCTGACTTTAAACAAAGCTCATGCTATTTCTACAAATACAAGGAAAAACAAACAAAAAAAATTCACATAGTCTTAAAGCTCCTCTATATTTCAGAAGGTGGTGAAGGATCTGGATTATATTAACAGTGTTCTTTACTATGATACCCAACTCCTGTCATGAATAAAAGGTGATGTTTGGAGATGTCATCAAATAGTTGACAAAGAAAAAATTGATAAGAAAAAAGAAATGAATTAAGATAGTGACCAAACATTCCCTTTTTATCAGTGATCAAAATTCTTGCTTTTACATGTTTACACAATCCATTCTATTTCTCTGGATGTGTAATGAAAGAAAATGAATATGTATGTTCATTTCTATTCCTTTTAAAATAACAAAAGAGACGGCATTCTGAGTCCAATTCTCTTTCCAGATTTTAAATTTTACAATTACTTATATAACACTATCAACGAATAGGACAATAGAATAAAAACAAAAGGGGAATTATTTTTAAAAGAATGTTTGAGTACAAACTGCTCTGTATATATTCTATATATATGCTATATATATGCTATATACATATATAGAGAGTGCTACATATATATATATATAGAAAGAGAGACAGAGAGAGAGAACAAGTTGTTATATGTGTGTATGTATGTGTATATATATACATCTAGAGAGAGAGAGAGAGAGACAGAGAGAGAGAACAAGCTGTTATATGTATGTATGTGTGTATGTATAATACTTTAGGTTCTGGTATACATGTGCAGAATGTGCAGGTTTGTTACATAGGTATACATGTGCCATGGTGGTTTGCTGCATCCATCAACCTGTCATCTACATTAGCTATTTCTCCTAATGCTATCCCTCCCCTAGTCCCCCACCCCCTGACAGGCCTTGGTGTGTGATATTCTCCTCCCTGTGTCCATGTCTTCTTATTGTTCAACTCCCACTTATGAGTGAGAATATGTGGTGTTTGGTTTTCTGTTCCTGTGTTAGTTTGCTGAGAATGATGGTTTCCAGCTTTATCCATGTCCCTGCAAAGGACATAAACTCATCCTTTTTTATGGCTGCATAGTATTCCATGGTGTATATGTGCCACATTTTCTTTATCCAGTCTATCATTGATGGGCATTTGGGTTGGTTCCAAGTATTTGCTATTGTGAACATTGCCACAATAAACATAAATATGCATGTGTCTTTAAAGTAGAATGATTTATAATCCTTTGGGTATATACCCAGTAATGGGATTGTTGGGTCATATGGTATTTCTGGTTCTAGATCCTTGAGGAATCACAACACTGTCTTCTACAGTGGTTGAACGAATTTACACTCCCACCAACTGTGTAAAAGCATTTCTTTTTCTCCACATCCTCTCTAGCTTCTGTAGTTTCCTGACTTTTTAATGATCGCCATTCTAACTGGCGTGAGATGGTATCTCATTGTGGTTTTGATTCGCATTTCTCTAATGACCAGTGATGATGAGCTTTTTTTCATGTTTGTTGGCCACATTAATGTCTTCTTTTGAGAAAAGTCTGTTCATAGCCTTCACCCACTTTTTGATGGATTTTTTTTTCTTGTAAATTTGTTTAAGTTCTTAGTAGATTCTGGATTAAAAAAAGCAATGGGGAAAGGATTCCCTATTTAATAAATAGTGTTGGGAAAGCTGACTAGCTGTAAACAGAAAACTGAAAATGGGTCCCTTCCTTACATCTTATACAAAAATTAACTCAAAATGGATTAAAGACTTAAATGTAAGACCCAAAATCACAAAAACCCTAGAAGAAAACCTAGGCAATACCATTCAGGACATAGGCGTGGGCAAAGACTTCATGACTAAAACACTAAAAGCAAAGGCAACAAAAGCCAACATTGACAAATGGGATCTAATTAAACTAAAGAGCTTATGCACAGCAAAAGACACTATCATCAGAGTGAACAGGCAACCTACAGAATGGGAGAAAATTTTTACAATCTATCCCTCTGACAAAGGGCTAATATCCAAGAAAAAATTTTCGTAAGCCCTTTATAACTATCTAAAATTTGCTTAAACCTTCAGTTTTATTCCATCTTTGTTTTAACCTAAAACCATATTTACACTCTCTAAATTAGACAAAATTACTTTATCTTACAATAAACCATATTCCGATGTCTTTTTATTAAAAACATAATTTTCATTTGTAGTGTAAGCAATTTTAATTATGTATCAGGTGCACAGCCATGGACATAGGAACTGCAGGTAATGCCTGACTCTTTTCCAGCCTGTCTAGGGGCATTGATAATTCTATGTCCCCAAGCCTTACCTGGAATATAATGGCTCCGAAGCGGGCAAGTTGAATGATTATTAGAAGTCATGGAAGTAGTTTATAACCTTAAAGCATCTAGCAAGTACAGTATCTGATATGGTTTGCCTATGTCCCCACCCAAATTTCATTTTGAATTATAGCTCCCATAATTCCCACATGTGGTGGAAGGGGCTCGGTGGGAGATAATTGAATCATGGGGGCAGTTTCCCCCATATTGTTCTTTTGATAGTGAGTAAGTCTCATGAGATCTGATGGTTTTATAAGTGGTTTCCCCTTTGGCTTGGCTCTCATTCTCTTTTCCCTGATGGCATGTAAGACATGCCTTCTACACATGAAGACTAAAGGTTTTCTCATAATTCAAAGTAACTTTTGATGCCCCCAAAAGTGAAGAAGTTCAGATAATGTAATGCCAAACAGAGAAAAGCCTTAGATTTTGAAACGAATATGTCCACTTACAGTTCTTGGGGTTCCATTAAGAAAACAGAGAAAAGAAGTTTCTCTCAAACTGGGGTTTGTAGTGCCTCCTCTGCTTCTCCCAAGGAGTCTCAGGCTGTCAGAAATTACCTTACATCCTCTTACGTGAGCATAGAGGGTTGCAAGAACACAGGCAGAAGTAAATGAAGGAATGAGTAAGTTGATTGAGAAGAAAATAAAAAACTTTTTTTCTCAAAGAAGTCCATTTTTTTCTCAAAAAATAACATTTAAGAAGAGAAAAAAACATAAAGACCTTTTTAAATATATGTATAAGCTTGGATATCTACTTTTAATTAAGCTGATTTTTAACTCTAGAGCTCTTTTATTTATTATTATTATTATTATTTAATTTTTAAGATATCTTATTACCAGACTCTAGCTGGGACAAACAGCCAACTCCTCTGGTTTTTAAGCTTTCTTTAAAAAAATTTTTATTTTTATCAAAGGTATTTTCCCAAGTGAAACCATTAAGTTTTAACTAATGTTGTGACTTAACCAGGCATGCACAAGTTGTCTCCAAAGAGATGGCAAGCGGTTTTTACAAAATCCAGAAGTGCCCCGAAGGTAGGTCAGAGAAAGGAAGATTCAAGACAGGAAGTCAGAAGTTGTTCATAGAGGGGAAAGAAATCAATAAATGGCAAAGATCACATAAATACCTAAATACCACAACAGAAAGGACTCATTCCCTGAAGCCTGGAATTAAACCCAGGGCACCATTGTGAAAGGGCAGAGGCTTAGCTACTGAGCTACATTATGGGACAGTTGCCATTGCTCTCTCCAGAAGGAGTACAGAGCAGTTATCTTTCAGGCTTGCAAAGGATTTAAACTGCCCAGGATAATTTTTAAAGCTATGAAATTATTATATATCCTTATTTTAATTTAAACCTTTTAAAAATTGCTGATAATAAGAGATCTCTAAAGTCCTTTTTCTTTTAGTGGTGTACTTAGTTCCAATAGCGACTCAATCCAAAAGCCTTTTAAAGGCTGTATAGTAATTTTTCAGGTACTTTTTAAAAATCATATAAACAAGAAGTATTTCTAGGGAGGGAGTGGAGGAGGCATCTCCATGGTCCCCAATAATTTCAATGTCCTTAAGATAGCAAAATATGTCAAAAGCCCCATAGAGATAGGACTTTTTAAGAAAAAATTCAGCCAAGGGCTTCACACATTCATACCAAGAGCAAGCTGGTGTCTTAGACTCCCCCAGTCTTTTCAGACTGGCTACCTGATATGAACTAAAAACTTTCCACCCTTAGAAGGCAAAGACCAAGAGAGAGTACCGAGAAGATATGGGACCACTAGCTATATATCCTGAAGCCTTTAAGTTTTTTTAAATTTTTATGGCTATGATGATAGTTGTATATATTTATGCTGTAGATGTATGTTTTGATACAGGAATACATTATGAAATGATCAATCAGGGTAATTGGAGTATACATCACCTCAAACACATATCATTTCTTTGTGTTAGGAACATTCTAATCACACTTTTTTATTTCTTTAAAAATGTACAATAAATTACTGTTAACTATAGTCACCCTATTGTGGTACAGAATAGTAGAAAATGTGTATACAAACACATTTCTTTTTTTAATGTTGCTTTTCTGTTTTTTTGATTGAGTTATATACATATATAATTTACTATTATCAAATTTACCATTTTTAAGTGTACCATTTAGTGGTTACAAATACATTTATATTCTTTTTTTTTTCCCTTTATTCCTCCTTCGTCTCCTTCCCTTTCCAGCCTCTGGTAACCACCAATCAGAAACAAGCAATCTACTCTCTATATTCATGAGTTCCGCTCTTTTAGCTCTCACATAAGAGTGAGAACATATGATGTTTGTCCTACTTTGCTTGGCTTATTTCATTTTACATAATGGCCTCCAGTTCCATCCATGTTGCTGCAAATGATAGGATTTCATTTATTTTGTGGCAGAATAACACTCCCATTGTGTGTATATACCATGTTTTCTTTATTTATTTATCCACTGATGGGCACTTAGTTTGATTCCGCATTTTGGTTATTGTGAAGACAGCTGTAATACATCATAGTGTACATATCTCTTTAATATATTTGTTTTATTTATTTTGTATATATACCTAGTTGTGGGATTGATGAATCATGTGGTAGCTCTGTTTTTAGTTGTTTAAGGAACAATACTATTCTCCATAGTGGTTGTACTAATTTATAAATACATTCTCATCAACAGGTATGAGGGTTCCCCTTTTTGCACATCCTTTCCAGCATACATTATTGTCTTATCTTTTTGATACAGCCATTCTAAATGGGGTGAGATGATATCACATTGTCATTTTAATTTGCATTTCTCTGATGATTAGTTATGTTGAACTTTTTTATATACCTGTTGGCCATTTGTATATCTTCTTTTGAGAAATGTCTGTCCAGATATTTTTCTCATTTTTTAATTGGATTATGTTTTTTTCCTATTGAGTTGTTTGAGCTCCTTATATATTCTGGTTCTACATTCCTTGCCAGATGGATAGTTTGCAAATATTTTCTGTCTCTTCATTTTGTTGCTTGTTTCCTCTTGATGTTATCCCAATTGTCTATTTTTGCTTTGCTTGCCTGTACTTTTTTGGTCATACACAAAATTCTTTGTCCAAACTAATATCCTGGAGCATTTTCTCAATGTTTTCTTCTAGTAGTTTCGTAGTTTCAGGTCTTAAATTTAAGACTTTAATACATTTTGATTTTTTTTAATAAAGTGAGAGATAGGGGTCTAGTTTTATTCTTCTTCATATAGTCACCCAGTTTGCTCAGAACCATTTATGAAAAGACTGTCCTTTACCCATTGTATTTTCTTGGCACTTTTATTGAAGATGAGTTGGTTGTAAATCTATAGATTTATATCTGGATTCTCAACTATGTTCTATTGGTCCATGTGTCTGTTTTTATGCCAGTACAATGTTGTTTTGGCTATTATAGCTTTATAGTAAATTTTGATATCAGGTAGTGTGATATATCTAGCTTTACTCAGGATTTCTTTAGCTATTTGGGCTGTTTTGTGGTTTCAAATAAATTTTAGAATTTCTTTTTCTATTTCTATGAAGAATGGCATTGGTATTTTGATAGTGATTGCACTGAATCTATAAATTGCTTTGGGTAGCATTGTCATTTTTAACAATATTAATTCTTTCAATTCAAGAGCATAGGAGTAACTTTTCTGAAAACAGTGGAATAAAACTAGAAATCAATAACAAGAGGAACCTCAGAAAATACATAAACACATGGAAATTAAACAGCATGCTCCTGATTGACCAATGGATTAATGAATAAATTTTTTTAAAAATATAAAAAAATTGAAATAAGTGAAAATGGAAATATGACATACCAAATGTGAAAACCTTAACAGAGAAATAATGTGTAACATAGAAACCATAAAAAAAAACCCATCAAAAAAAAAAAAAAAAGAAAAAGAAAACCCCAAAACCTGATAGGTTCCCTGACGAAATCTACCAAACAATTAAAGAATACAAACTTTACTGAAACTCTTCAAAAAAATTAAAGAGGAAGAAATACTTCCAAACTCATCCTATGTGGCCAGCATTACCTTGATAACAAAAGAAGACAGAGACGCCACAACAAAGAAAACGACAGGCCAATATCATTGTTGAACATAGATCCAAAAATTCTCAACAAAATGCTTGCAACCAAATTCAACAACACATTAAAAATATTATTCACCATGAGCAAGTAGGATTCATCCCAGGATGCAAGGATGGTTCAACATATGCTAATCAATAAATGTAGTACATTACATTTACAGAATCAAGAAAAAAAGCCATGTGATTCTTTCAACAGATGTCAAAAAAGTGTTTGATAAAATTCAACATCTCTTTATGGTAAAAACCCTCATTAAAATGGGTATAGAAGGAACATACTTCAACATAATAAAGGTCATAGATGACAAACCCAAAGCTGACACTATACTGGGGAAAAAAAATGGGAAAAAAAAAAACTGAAGTCCTATCCTCTAAGGACTAGAACAAGAAAAAGATGACCACTTTTACCGCCATTATGTAACCTCATACTGAAAGTTCTGGTCAGAGCAATTAGCCAAGAGAAAGAAATAAACAGTTATCTGAAGTTTTTGAGGGATGTTCTTAAACATCATTCTACAAGGAATGTGGTACTGCTTCTGATGTTCTAACTTGATTCAGTGTGGTCATGTGTCAATTCAGGGGCTTCTACTTGGCTTTATTATGATGCCTTTTACACCACAGTTTAGTGAACCAATCTTAGGTTTCTGCCAGCACTTAAGAATATCTGCCCCAATTATGCACTCAGGAATTAGAGAAATAACTACAGGGTGACCCACTGGGGCCATTGTATAAAAGAAGTGGGCTAACGTTTCATTTATCTCTTGCCTCTGCTTTTCTAGTGAGGTTTATTGTGGTGCTTTGCATGACCTAGAGCAAGATAAGCTTGAGACACCATATCAATATATCAGGAGTCCTTGAAACATCTTGGTATCACCCTTTTCCCCACATAATTTATCTTGAAATGGCCAAAGATTCTTTTGAGGAATGATTGGTGAGGCAGGTATGGTATATTCTTGCTTCTGGTGTTGGAGGTTCCTTTTTCTTTCTTTTCTTTTTTTAAATTACACTTTAAGTTCTGGGTTAGATGTGCAGAACGTGCATGTTCGTTACATAGATATACACGTGCCGTGGTGGTCTGCTGCATCCATAAACCTATCATCTACATTAGATTTCTCTTAATGCTATCCCTCCCCTATCCTCCCACCCCCCAATAGGCCCGGTGTGTGATGTTCCCCTCCCTGTGCCCATGAGTTTTCATTGTTCATCTCCCACTTATGAATGATGATAGGTAGTGTTTGGTTTACTGTTCCTGTGTTAGTTTGCTGAAAATGATGTTTTCCAGCTTCATCCATGTCCCTGCAAAGGACATGAACTCATACTTTTTTATAGATGCATAGTACTCCATGGTGTATATATGCCACATTTTTTAAATCCAGTCTATCATTGATGGGCATTTGGGTTGGTTCCAAGTCTTTGCTATTATGAATAGTGCTGCAATAAACATACGTGTGCATGTGTCTTTATAGTAGAATGATTTATAATCCTTTGGGTATCTACCCAGTAATGGGATTGCTAGGTCAAATGGTATTTTTGGTTCTAAATCCTTGAAGAATCACCACACTGTCTTCCACAACAGATGAACTAATTTACACTCCCACCAACAGTGTAAAAGTGTTCCTATTTCTCCACATCCTCTCCAGCATCTGTTGTTTCCTGACTTTTTAATGATCTCCATTCTGACTGGCATGAGATAGTTTCTCATTGTGGTTTTGATTTGTATTTCTCTAATGCCCAGTGATAATGAGCTTTTTTTAATATGTTTGTTGGCTGCATAAATGTCTTCTTTTGAGAAGAGTCTGTTCATATCCTTTGCCCACTTTTTGATGGGGTTGTTTGTTTTTTTCTTGTAAATTTGTTTAAGTTCCCTGTAGATTCTAGCTATTAGCCCTTTGTCAGATGAAAAGTTTGCAAAATTTTTCTCCCATTCTGTAGGTTGTCTGTTCACTCTGATGATAGTTTCTTTCGCTATGCAGAAGCTCTTTCGTTTAATTAGATCCCATTTGTCAATTTAGGATTTTGTTGCCATTGCTTTTGGTGTTTTAGTCATGATGCCTTTGCCCATTCCTATGTCATGAGTGTTATTCCCTAGGTTTTCTTCTAGGGCTTTATGGTTTTTAGGTCTTAGGTTTAAGTCCTTAATCCATCTTGATTTTTGTATAATGTGTAAGGAAGGGGTCCTGTTTCAGTTTTCTGCATATGGCTAGCCAGTTTTCCCAGCACCATGTATTAAATAGGGAATCCTTTCCCCATTGCTGTTTTTTGTCAGGTTTGTGAAATATCAGATGGTTGTAGATGTGTGGCATTATTTCTGAGGCCTCTGTTCTTTTCCATTGTTCTATATACCTGTTTTGGTACCAGTACCATGCTGTTTTGGTTACTGTGGCCTTCTAGCATAGTTTGAAGTCAGGAGCGTGATGCCTCCAAGTTTGTTCTTTTTGCTTAGGATTGTCTTGGCTATATGGGCTCTTTATTGGTTCCATATGAAATTTAAAGTAGGTTTTTTTTCTAATTCTAATTCTGTGAAAAAAGTCAATGGTATCTTGATGGGGATAGCATTGAATCTATATATTACTTTGGGCAGTATGGCCATTTTCATGGTATTGATTCTTCCTATCCATGAGCATGGAATGTTTTTCCATTTGCTTATGTCCTTTTTTTATTTCCTTCAGCAATGGTTTATAGTTCTCCTTGAAGAGGTCCTTCACATCCCTTGTAATTTGTATTCCTAGTTATTTTATTCTCTTTGTAGCAATTGTGAATGGGAGTTCACTTATGATTGGCTGTCTGTTTGTCTGTTATTAGTGTATAGGAATGCTTGTGATTTTTGCACACTATTTTTTTATCCTGAGACTGTTAAGTTGCTTATCAGATTAAGGAGTTTTTGGGCTGAGATGATGGGATTTTCTAAATATACAATCATGTCATCTGCAAACAGAGAGAATTTGACGTCTTCTCTTCCTATTTGAATACCTTTTATTTTTTTCTCTTGCCTGATTGCCCTGGCCAGAACTTCCAATACCATGTCGAATAGGAGTGGTGAGAGAGGGCATCCTTGTCTTGTGCCAGTTTTCAATGGGAATGCTTCCAGCTTTTGTCCATTCAGTATGATATTGGCTGTGGGTTTGTCATAAATAGCTCTTACTATTTTGAGATACGTTCCATCAATACCTAGTTTATTGAGAGTTTTTAGCATGAAGAGGTGTTGAATTTTATCAAAGGCCTTTTCTAAATCTATTGAGATAATCATGTAGTTTTTGTCATTGGTTCTGTTTATGTGATGGATTACATTTATTGATTTGTGTATGTTGAACCAACCTTGCATTCCAGGGATGAAGCCGACTTGATCGTGGTGGATAATTTTTTTGATATGCTGCTGGATTCGGTTTGCCAGTATTTTATTGAGGATTTTCACATTGATGTTCATCAGAGATATTGGCCTGAATTGTTGTTGTTGTTGTTGTTGTTGTTGTTGTTGTGTCTCTGCCAGGGATGGAGAAATATTACCAAGCAAATGGAAATAAGAAAAAAAATCAGGGGTTGCAATCCTAGTCTCTGATAGAAGAGACCTTAAACCAACAAAGATCAAAAAAAGACAAAGAACGGTATTACATAAAGGTAAAGGGATCAACACAACAAGAAGAGCTAACTACTCTAAATATATGTGCACCCTATATAGGAGCACCCAGATTCATGAAGCAAGTTCTTAGAGACCTACAAAGAGGCTTAGACTCCCACACAATAACAGTGGGAGACTCTAACACCCCACTGTCAATATTAGACAGATCAATGAGACAAAAAATAAACAAGGATATTCAGAACTTGAACTCAGCTCTGGACCAAACAGACCTAACAGATATCTACAGAACTCTCCACCCCAAATCAACAGAATATATATTCTTCTCAACACTGCATCACACTTATTCTAAACTTGACCACATAAGTGGAAATAAAACACTTTTCAGCAAATGCAAAAGAACAGAAATCATAAAAAAAAGTCTGTCAGACCACAATGCAATCAAATTAGAACTCAAGATAAGAAACTCACTCAAAACTGCGCAACTACATGGAAACTGAACAACCTGTTCCTGAATGACTACTGGGTAAATAATGAAATTAAGACAGAAATAAGTTTTTTAAAACCAATGAGAACAAAGACACAACATACCAGAATCTCTGGGATACAACTAAAGTAATGTTTACAGGGAAATTTATAGCACTAAGTGCCTGCAGGAGAAAACAGGAAAGATCTAAAATTGACACCCTAACATCACAATTAAAAGAACTAGAGAAGCAAGAGCAAGCAAATTCAAAAGCTAGCAGAAGACAAGAAATAACTAAGATCAGAGCAGAACTGAAGGAGATAGCAACATGAAAAACCCTTCAAAAAGCAATGAATCCAGGAGCTGGTTTTTTGAAAAGATTAACAAAATAGATAGACTGCTAGCCAGACTAATAATAAAGAAAAGAGAGAAGAATCAAATAGACAAATAAAAAATTATAAAGGGGATATCACCACTGATCCCACAGAAATACAAACTACCATCAGAGAATACTATAAACATCTTTACGCAAATAAACTAGAAAATCTAGAAGAAATGGATAAATTCCTGAACACATACACCCTCCCAAGATAAATCAGGAAGAAGTCAAATTCCTGAATAGACCAATAACAAGTTCTGAAATTGAGGCAGTAATTAATAGCCTAGCAACCAAAAAAAGCCCAGGACCAGACAGATTCTCAGCCGAATTCTACCAGAGGTAGAAAGAGGAGCTAGTACCATTCCTTCTGAAACTATTTCAAACAATAGAAAAAGAGGGACTCCTCCCTAACTCATTTTATGAGGCCAGCATCATCCTGATACCAAAACCTGGAGGTTCCTTTTTCAGAAGAACCTTTTGATTTTGCTAAAGAGACTGCTTTAAATCTGTTGTCACTGAGTCATAGAACTGATTCAGTTTTGAAAACTGAGTGATGGCTTGTATTAGGTTTCTCCTTAGCTGTACTTCCATACAGATAGATGGATGGGTAGATAGATAGATAGATAGATAGATAGATAGATAGATAGATAGATAGATAGATAGATATAGATACCCAGCAACAATCTATTTGGATCCTCAATTATTTCACCCTATGTTCTAATACCCATTTACACCAGATTTCTACATGTCAAGCCTCCCAGGTTGCCTTTTAGCCTTGCTGTGTATTACGGTAATTATTTACTCCTTGTCTCTGATGATTAATTACTGTCACCTGGTTGCTGCTGTTCTTGAATCCTATCATTGCCAAATGACACTAGAGATTCCAATTCCATAGCAGTATCTTTTATTATGAAGCCTAACTCATGAACAGCAACCAACACTGAGGTTTTAGCATTGCCAGTTCCCACCTTCATTATTGTATTTGTCACCATTGTAAACACCTGGAACTCAATCCTCTTCAGGGACCTCTAGCAAACAGTATAAAACACACTTTTGATTTGTCTCAGCCACAGAGGTGAGAATGCTTAGGTATTTATCTACTAACTCTCCTTTGTCTTTTTGTTGAATGTTGGTCAGTGGTGTGCTGGTAAATATTTAACAATCAGCTCTCTGAACAAATAGCCCTGATTTGTAGCCTTTACCAATTTCTTTGGTGGACATACTCTCACCATGGCCAATTTCAAGTTCTAATATTACATTGCTGAGTGCGGAATTGGGAAGAGATGTACAGTACCACACCATTATATGGAATCTCTATCCTACAGATACAAAAACACATTAAAAAAACTTCAGAAACACAGAAATAAGACTAAATTGCAAAATGACTGGGGAGTGATGAGTTTTGAGCATATTTTACTCTTATTTTTCATGTGTTTCATTTGATTATTATATTACATAATTTAATTTTTAATAATGATGCTATTTAAGAATCAGTTTGCCAGATTTTTGAAAATTTAACAATCAGAACTTGCATACTGCTTTACACAGCTCCAGCACACCACTGCTCCTGTGGAAGCTAACTTTTCAGTACCTCTGTCCTGACCTGCACAAAAACTAAGCAGCTCCCTTAGCTATAGAAAGGAGTCACTTTGAGATCTGCAAGTACTTGCAGTAAGAAGCCAGTGATGTGTCTGAGAGTAGTAAATGCCAAGGATCTGTGGGTGAAGCATTGAAAGCATCTGCTGCATTACTTTTCCTTAATAATTCACGGAAACTTGCATGAACGGGACTTAAGACATTTATATATAACTGAGGAGGGATTTCTCATCTGTTGTATTCCAACAATGTATTAAATGGCCTTAATTTTCACTCTGCCTATGTGTAGGCTGCATTATCCACCATAAAAAAGGCAAGCAATAGTCTCAGAGTCTCTGACAATAGCAACCAGCCAAGCAAAGCTTTTAACCCAGGTTTGTCTGAGCCTGAGGCTGAGCTATTTGCTTCAGGTTAGAGTTATGTGTGATTATTTCCATTATTTTATATCATACAAGTAGGACAAATATCAAATATGTTCTTTGAAATTTCTGAGTACCACAGAAAACTAGTCAATAAGAATTATATATCCTGCCTAGATTACCTGATGGGAAATTTTTGTATCAGAAAATTCATCCCAGTTGGTGACTGACAATGCAATACAATGAATTTGGGCAGAAGTGATTCTTCCTCTCCATTTCGGTATCATGCCCATCTATCTAGTAAAGGCAAAAATTTTCCAAGGGAAAGAAGTCTTTATGAAACATCTACTGCAAGTAGATATGAAAAGGGATAGTTTGGGCAAAAAAGTGAAGGAAAAGTTAAAATTAAACAAAATCATCTTATTTAAACACCATTGCTTTAAATCATTTCCAATCATGGGAACAAAGAATACCCTAAGGTTTTCTTCTTTGTAAATCACCATTATATCTGAAAGAAAGCCTAGTTAAATGATAGAAAGAAATGAAGAAAGGAAACATCTGTAATTGCCTGGCTGGTTCTGATGCTGAACAATTCATGCTGAGCTCTTCTTGAGTAACTGTTTTCCTTTTCCAAAGTTAATATCAGTCTCTGTTAACTCCAGCTTTGTTTTGAGGTGACTAGAAAAACAGTCAACTATTCATCCTGATGCCAAAGGAAAAGTAAACAGAAAAAATTAAGCCAAATTTTTACAATTTAGGCCAAGGTTTATAAAATATTTTCTGTAAAGGGCCAGATAGTATTTTGTGCTTTGCAGGCTATACAATCTCTTGGCATAGCCTAAAAGGGGTCATAGGCAACAGATACATAAATAAGAATGACTGTGTTACAATAAAATTTTATTTCCAAAATATTCAGGCAGGCTGAACTCGACTGTTGAGCCATTGTTTTCAGATCTCCAATTTAGGCTAATGGGGCAATATTGCTAAGTTACTGATGATTCTGATATTCTTAAATGATACTAAGGTACAAATAATGGATCCTTTTTTTATTTCAATATATATTGCTAAGTTACTTATGATTCTGATATTCTTAAATGATACTAAGGTACAAATAATGGATCCTTTTTTTATTTCAATATATATTGCTTCAGTGTTTAATATGTGTCAGACACTGCTCTGAGCACTGGGGATGCAGTGACAAATCATAAAAGCCCCTCCTTCAATATGTTGTTATTCAAGTGGAAGGGACCTGAGCAAATAAACAAAAATATAAAATATGATGTTAGGTATTGCTCTGAAAAAAATAAAGTCAGGGAATTAGACAGAATGAAGAGGTTTTATATTAGATACCTGGTCTAAAAAACATGAATGATAAGGTGATGTTTGAACATAGACCTCAATAAAGTGAGACAGAATGCCAAGTAAACAACTGAAAAAATAATTCTCCTGGAAAGAGGAAAGCCTTGAGACAAAAGCCCCGAGTAGAGAGCACTGAGTATATGCATGGCATAGTGAGAAGGCTGTGATAATTAGAGCAAAGAAGATAAGGAATAGGAAGGTAGAAAAAATGAATATTTGAAAGAAAGCCAAAGCCCAGGTCTTATGGGATCTACAGTTCATGGTGAGGAGTTTGGATTTTATTCTGAGAGTGTCAGGAAGTCACATGGGGATACTGAACAAGAGAACATAATGGTCTGGGTCATATTTTATTCTACTTATTTTATTTTTATTTATTTATTTTTTGAGATGGAGTCTCGCTCTGTTGCCCAGGCTGGAGTGCATTGGTATGATCTTGGCTCACTACAACCTCAGCTCAGCCTCCTGGGTTCAAGCGATTCTCCTGCCTCAGCCTCCTGAGTAGCTGGAATTACAGGCACCCACGACCACGCCCAACTAATATTTTGTATCTCTCTCTCTCTCTCTTTTTTTTTTTTTTTTTTTTGAGATGAAGTCTCCCTCTGCCACCAGGCTGGAGTGCAGTGGCGTGATCTCAGTTCACTGCAACCTTTGACTCCCTGGTTCAAGTGATTCTCCTGACTCAGCCTCCCAAGTAACTGGGATTACAGGCACGTGCCACCACACCTAGCTAATTTTTGTATTTTTAGTAGAGACAAGATTTCACCAATTTTTTTGTATCTTTAATAGAGACAGGGTTTCACCATGTTGGCCAGGCTGGTCTCAAACTCCTGACCTCGTGATCCGCCAGCCTCGGCCTCCCAAAGTGCTGGGATTACAGACGTGAGCCACAGCACCTGGCTGGTCTGCATTATATTTTAAAAACTAATTATGCACGCTGTGCAGAGAAGCAGAGCAAGAGTAGAAATAGAGTGACCATTAGGACCCCTGCAGCCTTCTAGGTGAGAGCTTGAGAGCTAGCAGAGGCTGGATTACTGTGGTATCAGTCAGGTAGCGAGAAATGATCAAGTTATGGATATGTTTTGAGAATAGAGCTGACAGAATGTGCTTCTCCCAGATCCCTGGCATGCACATAGCCATATTAATGTTCTCTGCTGAACTGAATGTCTGCTGTGATTCTGTCTAATTTGACAGAATTTACTTAATCAGGATCTTGATTTTCTTCCAATACCTCTCTTGACACCAGGTGGCACATCTAAAGTAATAAATATGATGAGAGAAAAGAGCTGACAAGAAGAAACAAAATAGAGGCATTTTTCATTGACTACTTTGTCACAGGGAAGGAGGATAAAGTTGCTGCAGTTTAGGACAACATCAGGCTTTGGCTGACAAGGCTGCCTTTTTTGTCATGGCCTGGGGATTCTCTAGTCACCCCATGATAAAAGAATAGTCACTAACGGTGAAGTTTGATAGATCTTATCCTGACTTAAGTGCTCAAGACTTGGAAAGGGGAGCTAGTGAGAAATGCAAACCAATAGCCATTTAGATATGGCTCTGTTGGAGAGTGGGCCTGCTGAATTTCAGATGGGAGTCAGCCCACAATATCTGTACTCATTAGTATGGAGGCAGCTGCTCTCAGACATATCACATGCCTTAAGGGATGTCTGCACTGATCAGGGACTTCTAATTTGCAAGTTACAGGATCCCAGAATTTATGAGCTGGGAGTTGTCTTAAAGATTACCTTACCTAATAGACTAAAAATCTACAGCAGTCAAAGAAAAAGATAACTGTCTATCAACATACAAGTAGATAGTGGCAGAGCTGAGACTGAATTTGTAAAGATTTCTTCTGGTAGGAGCTGGGGATAAAAAGCCACTGTAACTGTTCTCCTGTAACATTCATAGATATAATTACTTTGCAGGTTTTTTATTCTTAGTGAAGAACAATTCAATCTCCATCTCTCAAGTTTCAATGAGTAAATTAAAATACAAGCAGGTTTTTCTCCCTATATTGTAACTGTTGTTTAAGCAAGAAGTCTTAGATATTACTTACCATTAATTTTAAAGGAATGGTTAGAATGGTTGGGAATAGACAACGAAGTTCTTAACCCCCTATTATTGGAAAAATCCATAGATGTACCCAGCAAATTGGGATACTCATTAAAAAATTACTCTATATACTTAGGGATTATGGTTGTAATATTGTAGCCAGACAAATTTCATGCTGTCAACATGAGAAGTGAAAACAATTATATAGCACCGCTTCACCAATTTTCTTCTCTGTAGCTACACTTTAGCATCCAGGCCAAGATAGCTAATCATCAATAGAAACATCAGAAGAGGGTATTTTTCAAAAGCCTCTGTGTAAAAACAATATCTTAAAAGTTTATTTTTTGTTTTGTTTTGGCTTTTTGGTGGATTTTTTTTTTTTTTTTTTTTTTTTTTGGCAAATCTGGTTTACCCTGCTCTGTGAATCTTCATGTTATAGCATATCACATGTATGATAAAATTAGTCTTTCAAGTATTGTTTTTCTTCTTAATTTTCTAGGATCATATTTGTAGGCATCTAGAAAAGTTGATTGTACCTTGTTTTTATATACTTACATACTTTATTATTCTGTGTTGTATCTTTTGGGCTAAAAAGAAATATATTTAAATCCTCGAGAGAAAACAAAAAAATATATTTCTTTTCTGTCCAAACCAGGTGTCTCAGCCCACTTGGGCTATTACCACAAGAACACCATAAACAATAACAAACCTTTACTTCTCACAGTTCTGGAGGCTAAATCCAAAATCAAGATTCTGGCAGATCTGGTGTTTGGTGAGGACTCACTTCCTGGTTATAGACAGCCATCACCTTTTTGCTGTGTCTTCACATGGTGGAAATGACCAGGGAACTCTCTGGGGCCTCTTCCAGGAGGGAATTAATTTGCCCTCATGACCTAATCACCTCCCAGGTGTCCCATCTCCAAATACCATCACATTTGGAATTAGGTTTCAACATATGAAATTTGAGGGAACAAAAGCATTATCTATACCACAGGTTTTATGGTAATATTTTTAAAACCTAAACTTGTATTTATTCAGATAGTCTCTTCTTGTTAAACAGATGAGAAATGTTTCTACAGAGGACATGTCCGCTCTCTGACTTGCAGGAAGATTCTGATTTCTGTTCTCTTCTTGTTTTTATTGGCACTAATATAACCATATATAACCATAGCAACCACTACATCAGTTTATCGCTTCTTCTTCTTTCTTTTCTCTCTCTCTCTCTCTTTTTTTTTTTTTTTTTTTTATGATGGAGTCCTGCTCTCTTGCTCAGGCTGGAGTGCAGTGGTGCGATCTCAGTCACTGCAACCTACACCTCCCGGGTTCAAGGGATTCTCCTGCCTCAGCCTCCCCAGTAGCTGGGATTACAGGTGCATGCCACCATGTCCGGCTAATTTTTGTATTTTTAGCAGAGACAGGGTTTCACCCTGTTGGTCCCGAACTCCTGACCTCAGGTAAGCCTCCTGCCTTGGCCTCCCAAAGTGCTGGGATTGCAGGTGTGAGCCACCGCACCCAGCCAGCTTACCACTTCTGACTCTGCTGTAATTTAAAAACAAGTTGTTAAATTTTCTATTTTAGTTTAGATTTAGACTACTGTTATCATTTTGCCTAACACAAACCCAGAACACAGGAGCAATTTGATACCTGTTGGTTGGGCTGAATCAAACTCTTTGCATCTTCCTATTTCAACTCCAAATGCCTTAACATTGGGAATGGCAGAATACTCATGCTTTTTGCTTCTCAGACAGAATCTACTTCTTCCCAGTCTTAGGACTCTTCACCAAGGACTCCTATTAATATTAATTCATAAACAAATATTTGTGAAGTATCAGCTCTATGCCAGGTTCTTTTTTTTTTTTTTTTTTTTTTCTTTTGAGACAGAGTCTCTCTCTGTCGCCCAGCTGGAGTGCAGTGGCGCTGTCTGGGCTCACTGCAAGCTCCGCCTCCTGGGTTCACGCCATTCTCCTGCCTCAGCCTCCCGAGTAGCTGGGACGACAGGCGCCCGCCACGATGCCCAGCTAATTTTTTTGTATTTTTAGTAGAGACGGGGTTTCACCGTGTTAGCCAGGATGGTTTCGATCTCCTGACCTCGTGATCCGCCCGCCTCGGCCTCCCAAAGTGCTGGGATTACAGGCCTGAGCCACCGCGCCCGGCCGCCAGGTTCTTTTATAGACACTAAAGATATGTCAGAGAACACAACTGGTAAAAATCTCTGCCATCATGGAGCTTATGTTATTGTTGGAAAACAGAGTGATTAGAACAGTCAAACAAATAACAATTAGCATTTCAAGTGGTAATAACCACTATGAAGTAAAATACAGCAGGGAAGGGGAAATGGGAGTACTGTTTAGTGAGAGTCATTGTTAGTTGGGAAGCAATATTTCAAATGAAAAAAATAATTAGTGGGAACAGCAACTTTAGAAATGTAATATTTGAGCAAAACCTTGAGAAAGGTAAAGGTGTCAGGCATGTGGATATGCATAATACAAGCACCCAGGCACCTAGATGGGAGACAGCCTAGTGTTTTCTAGAAACATCAAGGAAGCCAGTACAGCTGAAGCAGTGTGAAGAGTCGGGGAACGTGCAAGATGAGTCAGATAAATCAGGTGAACTGGCAGGACATTGTAAAGACATTAAGTCTTACTTTAAGTGAGATGAGAAGCCACTGAAGAGATGAGAGGGCTTTGGAGCAGAGGAGTTACATTAAATGACTTATATTTTAAGTGGGTCACTCTGTTTTACATGTTGACAGTAAGTTGTCAGTTGACAAAAAGGAACCAGTGAGATAAATTAGGAGACTATTACAATGATTTGGTTAAGAAAGACTTGGGTCAGAATAATACTGGTTGAAGTGGTAAGAAAGAGATCTTTAATGTCGTTTTTAGGAAGAGAAAACAGGCTATTTTGACATGTTGGATATAGTATATAAGACAAAGAGAATAGTCAAGTGATTTCAAATTATTTTTTAGCCTGTTAACTTGATGAGGTGGAGTTCTCATGTACTGAGATAAAGAAAATGGGAAGTTGGACATATCTGGAATAGAGATTAAATGTTCAGTTTTTGGACTTGTAGAAATTGTCAAGGTGGTAGTTTGTTTTATAATAAGCCTAGAGTTCAGAGAAGAGGTCTGGGTTGGAAATATAACTTGGAACATCAGTGTGTAGGTTGTATTTGAACTGAGAAAGAAAAGGACATTTTATCTAAGGAATGTGAGCCTCCTCTAAATTATCAGGCCCTAAGAGGCATAGGAATGAGGCAGCAGTCATATCCCACTTCCTCCCTTGAGCTAAGTAATCATCTCTTCAAGCTGCTTATTATGTGGACTCTAGACTGACTGTTACCACAAGTAGCTATAAATTTATCTAATAATGCTGCATGTTGTACACCATAACCCATGCCCTATGTTCCAACAATGTATAGCCAATCACTAATCAATGTCATTTCTGTAAATCAATGAGAATTCCTGACAAACAACTATCA
This sequence comes from Homo sapiens, assembly GCF_000001405.40. Classification (NCBI taxonomy): domain Eukaryota; kingdom Metazoa; phylum Chordata; class Mammalia; order Primates; family Hominidae; genus Homo; species Homo sapiens. Next base: position 57,478,483 of record NC_000010.11, on the reverse strand, counting down.
ACCCATTTCCTGTCCTCCTATTTGCCTTTAAAAACCTGCTTGTAACAAAGGCCAAATGAAGTTCATATGCTGACCCTTCTAGTCTTCTGGGTAGATGTCCTCATCTTGTCCCAAATAAGCTCTGCACTTATATTAATTTTTCCTGTTTCTTCTTTTATCTTGACAAAACCCATGAGAACGCATAAGATTACCAAGGAAGAGGCCATAGGTAGAGTAAAAACAAAGGGAAAAGGTACCTGGGGACTCTCCATCACTTGAAAGTTGGGAAGATGTGAAGGAATCAGCATAATCGAAGAATGAAGAATGACTACTGAGAAAGGCAGTAATGAGAAGTATGATATTCTGCAAGCCGTATGAAAAGTGTTCCAGAAAGATGGAGTGATCTATGTCAGTGCTATAGACAATTCTCCTATAAACAGGAACTGAGTAATAAATACTGTATTTTGCAGCATGAAGATCATTAGAAGTAGTTTTGGTGGACAAGGGATTAAAGCTTAATTGCAATATGCTCAGGAGAGAAAGAGTGAAATAAGATTAAATAGGTATAACTAACCATATGGAGAAGTTTGATTTTAAAAGAAACAATAAAGAAAGACTAACAATACCAACCACTGGGGCAGTAGTTGGCAGAAGATGGAGAGTTATGAAAGTGGAAAAGGATACAAGTTCTTGAACAAATAAGAAAGGAGATTTAAAGAACAAGTGAAAGATACGTTCTCAGAAAGGGGCATAGGGAGCTTCTCGGTGGTAAACAAGGAAAGGAAGATTATATGAACACAGGTGCAGAGAGGTGGAGAGAGGTTTTGGTGAGAGCTAAGGTAATTTCTTTTCAGATGGCTCCCATTCCTTCAATGAACATCTCATCTGCTTTATATACTCATGTGTAAAAAATATGTTTTACAAATGTAATAAAAGCAAGCTAAATATTTGGAGGCTTACCTGTTGGAAAAGAAGACTGGAAAGAAGGTAGTGAAGGCTTGAGAAGAAATTTTGAAGTGGTTGGCTTAAAATAGAAGAATAAATAAACTATAGGAAAGTAGTAATGATGGGTATCTCTAAGCACTATGAGGTTAATGTTAGCACATTTAGCAATAAATCTGTCAGTTCTAGTCTCTCTACATATGCAAATTCAGAGTACGTTGAGAGTTGAACTTAATCAGTCTGTTTTCTTTTCCCATGAAGGCACAATAAAGAAAGTGCAATAAAAGATATGGATGGAATAAAAGATGCATATGTCTTTATGTAATTTAATATGATTCTGAATTCTTGAATCTAGCAGGGCTAAGAAATTACATATACTCAAGCAGTATGAGTGATAGTGAAAAAGTAGTTAGAGTAATAGATGGTAGGCCCTGATGGGGTTGAAGAATTGTTGCAATTGTACTATAGAGAGTGAGCTGGGAAGATGAAAACGTGTCAGAGGATGAAATACATGAAAATGAAATTTAAGATGAAATGTAGTTATTAGGAAAAACAAATTCAAGTGTGTGGTAGACATTAGTGCTCACTAATATTCCTTGTTTCCTCTCCTTCCCTGCCATATTGGAAGATTCCACATTTACATACCTTGAGTTTAGGTATGATCATGTAACTTACATTGGTCAAAGAAATGAAAGCATATGAGTTGCTTCCACATGAATCATTTAGAAAATAGCTTCCTCCATCCTTTATGCTCTTTCTCAAAAGGTAGTTGTGGATATATTGAAATGGTCATAAATAATGTAACAAATAAAATATCCAAAGTCTTCTGTGACCTATAGTAAGTGGTAGCCCTAGCTCAAAGATGAGCAGAACTTAGTAACAAGGCAAGGTTAACCATTTACCCAATTAACTCATCCTTTTTTTTTTTTTTGAGATGGAGTCTTGCTCTTGTCACCCCGGCGCTGGAGTGCAGTGCCACGATCATGGCTCACTGCAGCCTCTGTCTCCTGGGTTCAAGCAATTCTCCTGACTCAGCCTCCTGAGTAGCTGGAACTACAGGTACCTGCCACCATGCCTGGCTATTTTTTGTATTTTTAGTAGATATGGTGTTTCACAATGTTGGCCAGGCTGGCCTCAAACTCCTGACCTCAGGTGATCCATCCACCTCAGCCTCCCAAAGTGCTGGGATTACAGGCATGAGTCACCACAGCTGGCCCAATTAACTTATCCTTGAATATTTAGCAATGATGTAGAGACAGTTACCCTGGAGAAATTCATAGATTGACAGGGTATTTTGCAAGGGTGAGAAGTGAACTTTTCTTATGTTAAGCCACTGAGAGTTTGATGGTCTTTATTACCACAGCATAATCTAGGCTATCTGGTCCACCACAAAGGTAGGCTGATGGAAGTAAATGGGTGATGTAGGATGGATGACAAGATCCCTGAGGGAGACAAGGTCATGGGAGGTGAGGCCAAGGTGCAGGATAGTCTGTAAAAAGATGTAAATCACCATAAATTATGATAGGATGAATTTGAAGAGGATGGCAGTAAGCCATGAACTAAAATTTTTAATGAATAAGGGGGATTGACTTAGAGATGTTAAAGGACTGCAACAAGCAGGTGTTAGTAGGGTTATAGTGTGAAAGCATGAAATCCAGAAACAGGGCGAGAGATTTAGGAAGAAGGAAGAGGAAAAGTCTCAGAAGTACCAACAAAAAGAAAGAATAACTGAGATCTCGCTATTTTAAACAATTATATGTAGGAAATTCTTATTAGAAAATCAGAGTGCATTGATCAAATAAAATGTATTCTACTGAAATAGTTATCTTGTTTCAGAACTTTCAAGTCTCCAATTTTTGAAATAAGATCTTTTCCTAGCCTTCTGACCAGGAAATTACGTTAAAATATGTCAGAATAGACTTCTTATTCTGAAATCCCCATGCAGTAAGGGGCTATGTGGACTTAATTTATAATGCTCTCATATAATTTACAAACCATGGACTGCACTAATTTTACTTCCAGTTTTTTTTTGAAATTCCCAGCTCAGTTCCAATATTTGCCTTTGCTATTAATAAAGATATGCAAATTGCTTCTATATTTGGAATAATACAATGTGCCTGAATTCTTTTTACATAAATTTGCATATATTTCATTTTACTTTTCCAAAACTATGAGTCATATATTTGACTAATTTAACCTTTTGGGTATTTTATAGTTAAGAGCTTAAATAGTTTGGGCAGTAGGTTAAATATTTTTGCAAATTTAGTCCTCTTGCTTGCTTTTGTTGAGTACTTGACAACTTTAGGAATATGAAGAGAAATTATGAGTGTGTATTAGTCTGTGTTCACGCTGCTGATGAAGACATACCCGAGACTGGGAAGAAAATAAAAAGGTTTAATTGGACTTACAGTTCCACATGGCTGGGGAGAACTCAGAATCATGGCAGGCAGAGAGAGGCACTTCTTACATGGTGGAAGCAAGAGAAAATGAGGAAGAAGCAAAAGTGGAAATCCCTGTTGAAACAAATGAAAACAGAAACAAGATACCAAAACTTGTGGTATACAAAAAAAGTAGTATTAAGAGGCAAGTTTATAGCAATAAATGCCTACATAAAAAGCATAAATAGTTTCAAACACTATTTTGGAAAATACTGTAATTTTAGAACTTATGAAGGATGATTCAAATCTCCATATCCACCAGATCTCATTAGATGATGTCCTACAGAATCCATACTTATACTTTTAGCTATATATTTACTTCTCCTTATTTTGTCATTTTCAGAAATCAAAGTTATATGAGCTCTCTATTTGCTTTATGAAGCCCCTTGCAAAGATTAAATTTCCTTGATATAATGTTTATAGCATTAAAATTAAAAATTAACAAACTGTGAAAATTTTGTTAATTTTTCAGAAGTACATGATGCTCTTAATTTTACCAATCAGAATGAGGGAGGAAACATAATCCTATAATTTTCCTAACACCTATCATTAGGCTTTGCTTGGTTCCCAGCTCTAATAAGAGTGCTTTTTTAAATGAGAAAATATTCAATATGTACTACATGTCATGCCCTATCTTTCAGTTACCCTATGACAATCTTGTGAGGTAGAATTTATTAGCATTTTATTCTGTGAAGCTGTGAATTAGTAACTTGCTCCAAGTCACACAGCTAGGAAATGGAGGTGTTGGCACACAATTAAGTCTGTCTGCTTCTAGCCACTACTTTCTAACCACTAACATTTTCAAGGTATGGTCTTCAGATGACTTCTTATGCTTTATTAAATCCAGAGAATCAGTTTGAGTGATTAACTAGAATCTGCATTTTTACTAATCTACTCCAGGAATTCTGGCATACCTAATTTGAGAACAATTACAATAACTATTACAAATGGCCTTGCTTACCGGTTGTTGGGTGTACTGGTTTCCAATCTTCCTCTACTCTCTAGACTCAATCTCTACCTGAGACACAAAAAATAAAAGTCTGTGGCCCTGCAGCAGCTGGTACCAAGTCAGCGCTGAGTTTATGATGATGTATTTATTTTTCTGCTAAGTGAACTCCTGCCTTATGCCTTTTAAAGCACAGGAAATTAGACCCTCCTGATTTATTTATTTATTTATGTATTAGCTCAACTCTTTGGCTAGAAATGATCAGAACTATTTTGTTGTTGTTGTTGTTTGTTTGTTTGTTTTTTGAGACAGAGTCTCACTCTGCCACCTAGGCTGGAGTGCAGTGGCTTGATCTTGCTCACTGCAACCTCGCCTCCCAGGTTCAAGCGATTCTCTTGTTTCAGCCTCCAGAGTAGCTGGGATTACATGAGTGTGCCACCATACCCGGCTAATTTTTGTATTTTTAGTAGAGACGGGGTTTCACCATGTTGGCCAGGCTGATCTCAAACTCCTGACCTCAGGTGATTTGCCCACCTCAGCCTCCCAAAGTGCAGAGATTACAGGAGTGAGCCACCATGCCCAGCCAACCAGAACTTGTCTACTTTCTGTTAGACCCTGATAATGCTACCCTAATTGAATCCTGGCCCATTTACTTCCAGATGTCTTCCTGACAAGTTCTTCTAGTCCTTGGGTTAGAGCTACCACTTACCATGAGTCACAGAAGGCTTTGTGTGTTTATTACATTATTTTGCTGGATTGTTATTTCTTTCCAACAACTTCAGCTGAATGTGAGGCATTCTGCATGCCCTGTTCCAAGGAGCAAGTTTATATTCTGGGTTATTCCAGTGACCTGGATGAGCCATGTCCTGAGCTATCTCATGTTTCCTTTTTAAAACAGAATATAGCAAATCTGTCATATAGGAACACACCGTATAACCCAATAAGATTAGTGAGGGGATCTGGTAGATGCAACAAAGTTAGATCTAAGCCCGATAGATAAGACATAGGAACAATGTTTGAGTGATGTAAATATTTTTTTTTATTCCTGAACCCCAGACCAAGAACAGTATGATAAGAATTTTGCTTACTCATTCTCATGTTTAAGCAAATATTATTTGATGTAAATGTGACATATATGGCCTATGTTGTGCATTCTTAGATAGTATATCAGATATTTAAAATCTCTTACAATGTTTGCTTTGGAGATTCCATAATTGCACAATGTAGATTACATCTCTTTCTTAAAATCACCATGAGACACCTATTAAAAAAAAAATTCAAGAGGAAAAATCATTTTCTCCCAGAACTTAATTCAAAAGGAAAAATGTCTTTACAACTTAGGTATTTCAGCTATAAATTACAACAAGAAGATTTCAGTCTTATATGCTATGAAATAGAATTTTATATATAATTTTTAATATAATTATATATTATATAATTTTATAATATAACATATAATTGTGTGTATAATTATATAATTTTATATATAATTATATACTATGTAATTATGTATAATTATGTAATTTTATATGTAATTATGTACTATACAATTATACATAATTATATACCCTATAATTATATACTATACAATTATATATAACTATATACCCTAGAATTATAAATAGAATATAATTATATACCCTAGAATTATATATAGAATATAATTATATACCCTAGAATTATATATAGAATATAATTATATACCCTAGAATTATATATAGAATATAATTATATACCCTAGAATTATATATAGAATATAATTATATACCCTAGAATTATAAATAGAATATAATTATATACCCTAGAATTATAAATAGAATATAATTATATACCCTAGAATTATATACAGAATATAATTATATACCCTAGAATTATATACAGAATATAATTATATACCCTAGAACTATATACAGAATATAATTATATACCCTAGAACTATATACAGAATATAATTATATACCCTAGAACTATATACAGAATATAATTATATACCCTAGAACTATATACAGAATATAATTATATACCCTAGAACTATATACAGAATATAATTATATACCCTAGAACTATATATAGAATATAATTATATACCCTAGAATTATATATAGAATATAATTATATACCCTAGAATTATAAATAGAATATAATTATATACCCTAGAATTATAAATAGAATATAATTATATACCCTAGAATTATAAATAGAATATAATTATATACCCTAGAATTATAAATAGAATATAATTATATACCCTAGAATTATAAATAGAATATAATTATATACCCTAGAATTATAAATAGAATATAATTATATACCCTAGAATTATAAATAGAATATAATTATATACCCTAGAATTATAAATAGAATATAATTATATACCCTATAATTATAAATAGAATATAATTATATACCCTATAATTATAAATAGAATATAATTATATACCCTATAATTATAAATAGAATATAATTATATACCCTATAATTATAAATAGAATATAATTATATACCCTATAATTATAAATAGAATATAATTATATACCCTATAATTATATATAGAATATAATTATATACCCTATAATTATATATAGAATATAATTATATACCCTATAATTATAAATGGAATATAATTATATACCCTATAATTATATATGGAATATAATTATATACCCTATAATTATATATGGAATATAATTATATACCCTATAATTATATATGGAATATAATTATATACCCTATAATTATATATGGAATATAATTATATACCCTATAATTATATATGGAATATAATTATATACCCTATAATTATATATGGAATATAATTATATACCCTATAATTATATATGGAATATAATTATATACCCTATAATTATATATGGAATATAATTATATACCCTATAATTATATATGGAATATAATTATATACCCTATAATTATATATGGAATATAATTATATACCCTATAATTATATATGGAATATAATTATATACCCTATAATTATATATGGAATATAATTATATACCCTATAATTATATATAGAATATAATTATATACCCTATAATTATATATAGAATATAATTATATACCCTATAATTATATATAGAATATAATTATATACCCTATAATTATATATAGAATATAATTATATACCCTATAATTATATATAGAATATAATTATATACCCTATAATTATATATAGAATATAATTATATACCCTATAATTATATATAGAATATAATTATATACCCTATAATTATATATAGAATATAATTATATACCCTATAATTATATATAGAATATAATTATATACCCTATAATTATATATAGAATATAATTATATACCCTATAATTATATATAGAATATAATTATATACCCTATAATTATATATAGAATATAATTATATACCCTATAATTATATATAGAATATAATTATATACCCTATAATTATATATAGAATATAATTATATACCCTATTATTATATATAGAATATAATTATATACCCTATTATTATATATAGATTATAATTATATACCCTATTATTATATATAGATTATAATTATATACCCTATTATTATATATAGAATATAATTATATACCCTAAAATTATAAATAGAATATAATTATATACCCTATAATTATATATAGAATATAATTATATAATATATAACTTTATATATTTTTATAATATATAAAATTATATTTTAATAATTTTATATATTTTATAATATACTATAATATATAATGATATATACTTTTATAATATAATATATAATGATATACAATTTTGTAATATAATATATCATTATATATATAATTTTTGCTATTTATTGCTTGTCTGCCTAACTCTGGTCTTTCAAATAACCACATATACCATGAATCTCAGCTGATCATCATTTCTTTGGCAATCCTTTCACTAACTCTGTCACGTGTTCTGTTCCTTCTCATATCCCCCTTCTATTATTATATATTTCTCTTTATGGGCTTAATTTATGTTGTCTCTAAAACATAGTCAATAGAATGAATAAAACATGTTAAGGAACCCTAAACCAGTCAAGATTTATTTCCAATGATTACTCAAGTTGAATTAATTATCATGCCTATTGTGAATAATTTATAAACCAAGAATGAATAGATCATTAATTCGGATGAGTTCCTGTAGGTTTGTAAATCATTATTCATGAGTGATAATTATATAAAGAAAGGGCTTTGCACCTCATTGGTGCATTATCACAAAATTCTCCAGCAGCAGTTGAGAAAGAGTAAGTGAGAGAATTACACCTTTTGGCACAGCAGCCTGTAATAGTAAAACTTAGGACAAATGCATAGAGAGATATGTGTATAACTTTTAGAGAGTTGCTAGGGAAGTTTATTCTGTTTTCCCTACCTCTCTGTTCAGGAAGACCCAGAGAAAGATGGGGACTTTTTTTAGGGCACAGCCTTTTGTCTAAGAAGTGACTGCTTCTTTTCTTCTTTAATCTTCTCCTGTTGCTCCATATATGAAACCTTTACTGAGACAGTTAGTAAGCTAAACAGTAAAATAAAGGTAGGAGAGCTGCCTATGTCAAGATTATCATTAGTCTGCAGTTGTCACCACTTTGATTAAAGAGTCTTGCTCCAAATAAAGTGGAGTAAGTTATCTGTAGTAAATTATCTTTAAGTGGTTTTTCAGGGTAAACAAAACTAAAATGAATACTGTATAAAAATTGAACAATCGTATGGCAGGCTAAGTAACGCCCTAGCAATATCCATACATAATCCATGGAATCTGCGAATGGATTATATCAGTGGCAAAACAAATATACAAGCAAGCAAACAAACAAACAACCAAACAAGCAACTTCCAGATGTAATTAAGATTACTGATCCTTAAATAGGGCAATTATCCTGGATTATCTGGGTGGGCCAGATAATCTACCAAGATAATCTTCCTGTCTAATCACATAAGTAGAGAACTTTCCCTGGCTGGAGTCAAAGATGTATGCGTGTGGCAGATTCTAAGCTTAAGAAATATTTGATTCACCACTGGTTGTTCTGAGAGTTAGGAGCCAGTAACAGTGTAAAGACTGAGAGGTCTCTAGGAGCTCACGGTAAACAAGAGAAAGAACGCAGACAGCCTCTAGGAGCAAACACTTTGTGGTTGATGGCCAACCAGGAAACAAGATCCTCAGTCTTACAACTTCAAGAAATTGAAGTAGGCTAACAACTTGAATGGGGTTTGAAATGGTTTATTTCCCAGATTTTCCAATAAGAAACAGTCCCACCAACACCTTGATTGTATCCAGTGAGCCCAGGTCAGACTTCTAACCTACAAAGCTATGAGATAATAAGTAAGTGTTGTTTGAAGCTGTGGTAATTTGATGGCAGCAGTATAAAACAAATCCAAACAGTAACTTAACGTCACTTTTCGACTTGAGCAAGTTACTCACCTTCTCTTTGCCTCCACTTTCCTGTTTGTAAAATGGATACAATAAGGGTATTTAATTCAAGATTGTTGTGCTATGTGATTGTAAGTCCACATATGTCATTAACTCTATTTATATAGGAACAGATATAATAGTGCCAAATGGCTTGCCAGAGTGAAGTAACATAAAATAAATGAAGTGAAGGAAGTAAATGCCATGCTACATATAAAATAATCATATTTTATTAAATCGAATGCAAATAAAAGAGAAAGCCTACCTTTACATATGCCGAGTGGCTTTAGTTCATGTGAGGTATGTATTTCTGACAATATCCTAATAGCTGGAAGTAAAATCATCCAGGCTTAATCATTTCAAAAAACAGAGTACTTTGTTACCTTTCTAGAGTTGTGTGACGGTTTGGCAACAGTGTTAACAGTTTATAATTCAGTCATTCAAAATTCTTCAAAAGTGTGCAATTATCCACTCTTTGAGAGGCCTTAAAATTATATACAAATTGTATATATAATAAATTTTAATATTATTTAGGATTAATAGAATTTGATTGGCATTGAATGCAGCCACACTGCTCAAGATAGTTCTTTCCAAACAGATTTGAAGTGGCAGCTTCAGCATAGACAGCACCCATTGAGTGTAGGTACTGTGTCAAAGTAGTTAGAAGCCTTGTAATCTTCACATTAAATCCCGCTACATAATAGAACTTTTATAGCTAACGTAGTCCTGGTTAATTAACGATATGTAGGGATTCTTGGTTAATTCTTTAATGCACATGAATTTGGTGTGTAGCAAGCTTGCTTTATGCAGACATGAAAAACAGACCTAAAGATGTTATCTCTCGGCAAATTAACTTGGTCTCTTTAAAAAGCTTTAGGTTTAAATGTTTTTAATGTTCATTTTCTACTTATAGTCACTGGCTGATAACCTAACTAGACCGCCAAAAATTATAAAAATATGATCTCTATTCTCAATAATTTAATCACAAATTCTCCAATGGAACTAAATCATGAAGAAGGGAAAACACCTCACACTAAATTACCAATGCTCTTTGATAGGCATTCACGAAGAGAATAACAAAGGAAAAAAAAAAAAAGAAAATCAAGTATAGTCTCCTTTGCCTCAAAATCCAAGGGTTTCTTGGAATAACTGTGAAAAAATTCAGAGGTTTTAACCATAACCCTGATCAAAGACTGACAATAAAAAGACACGTATTGCTCCTTTGCTAAACTTTCTCAAGATAAGCCTACTGTAGGTATTAAGTTCTCTTGGATACAGAAAAGTAGAAAACTTAAGTATTTACAAAGGTACAAGTGTTATTAGTTCATTGATGAAATATTCCATGTTTTATACAGGATTTAAACTTAAACATAGATTGGTTAATGTAGCAGAAATAGTTCAATGGCTTAAAATAATATTCCATTTGTGTGATGGTGGAGCACATCTTCACTCTGCAGTGGCATCAGAGAATATGTCCACACTATTCCATCTAAATCCTGGAATAATTTTAACAATGTAAGTTATACTTACACTGTTCAGGTATACTTGAGCCTAAGTATAAGTTATTATTCTGATAATTCAGGTATATTGAGAAGGAAGAAGTTGAATGTAAATGAAATAGCAGGTAGATAGGGAAGACAAAATCATGAAATTGTCCTCCATGATGAAGGTTAAATCAGCCAAACTTAAGGACTAAAGAGATCTGAGGAACATGGGCTTGGTTTTAGGAAGGCAATATGAATTCATATAATTTACATATAATGTATGCTGATGACAACGATGATTATAATAGCAGCTGCCATTTATTGAGAGCTCAACATGTGTTAGACATTACCTTTATTATAAATAAACCCTATGAAATAGCTAATATGTTCTCAGTGAGAGATAAGAATAATTAAATGTATTTAGGTTAAGCAAAATGCCTAAGGCCAGATATCTAGAAAATTTCACTTTAAAAATCAAAGCCTGCTAGTAGATACAGTATAAAGCAGTAAACACAACCAAGATCTACCACAGTTCCTGATGAGAAGTCCTAATAGAGTGGGGAGGTTAAAGATAATATATTCTTTGTTACTTTTGCAATTAAAAGGTGAAATCTATTTTACCCACCTTTAGGTTTGGGGTGGCTTTAATGACTTGCTTGACCAGTAGAATGAAGCAGAATTCTGTGTTTTGAAGCTTCCAAGGCTAAGTCATTCATGTCTTCCATGTGGCTACTTGAAATACATGAGGCTGAATGCAGTGGCTCATGCCTGTAAGCCCAGAACTTTGGGAAACCGATGCAGGAGGATCACTCAAGCCTTGGTGTTTGAGACCAGCCTGTGCAACATAGGGAGATCCCATCTCTACAAAAAACATATTAAAAAGTAGCTGTGCCTGTGCTCCCAGATACCCAGGAAGCTGGGGTGGGAGGATCACTTAAGCCCAGATGTTAAGCGTGCAATGAGCCATGATTGCACCACTGTACTCCAGCCTTCGTGACAGAACGAGAACCTCTCTCTCTCTCAGAAAGAAACAAAAACAAAAAACAAAAAAACATTGGATGGTGCTTTTATCCAGCCACTTAGAATGCTCATTCTTGGAGAAGTCAGCCTTCATGTAAGGAATATGACTACCCTGATAACTTAGGCCATGAGGAACTCCAAGCTATCTATGTGGGGAGACAATGGAGAGAGCAAGATGCCTGGCTAGCCAAAGCTTGTCCAACCATCATAGGCAAGGCACCAGCATGTGAGTGAAGAAGCCTTTATGGATATTCTTGACCACACCAGACATAACCAAAGATGTGGAAAACTGAAGAAACGTACCAACAGGGAGAACTGTTAGTTCACAGCATATGGCCCTAGTCAAATTGTCCTAGCCATCTCCAGCCATTTGAGCCACCTAAGCTGAGACCCAAGTCTTTATGGAGCAGAGATGAGTCATATCTGTTGTTCTTTGCCTAAATTCCTGATAAATGTAATTGAGAGCATGATGAGATAGTTGTTGTTTTATGCCACATAATTTCAGGGTGGCTAGTTTTATAGCTATAGATAACCAGAACATAGATTATATACCTAAAAGATAGCAAGGCCTATGAGGGCCAGATTCCAATCATGCCACAATTTGTTTATATATAAAACTGTATTATTTTCATTTAACAAATATGATATTTATGATGATGATACAGTTATAGCTCCAATTGATGACAGATGAAGATAGATCTTAAAGTTAAGATTATATATCATGATTTGTTAAAGAAAATGTGGCCTGAGGCTGCCTTTGTACCTTAAGTCCCTACACAGCAAACTGCCAGGTAGCTTGCTATGTAGACAAACTGAAAGCCTAAATTAAGAGTATTTGGTTTTAACAAATAGCTGTCTCGGCCAATTACAGCAGTTGAGCTGCAGCCAATCACAGCCTGCCACCTAATCAGACTATGCCCAAATAAGGCAAACCCTGATCTGTAATCAATCAAGGTGTTTCTGTACATCACTTCCCTTTTCTGTTTAGAAATACTGCCAGCCTAAATGTTGGATTAGAACTCTATGAACGTTGTCTGGTTCTGAAGGCTGCCTCACTGGTGAATCATTCTTTGCTCAATCCAAACCTGTTAAATTTAATTTTTCTAAAGTTTTTCTTTTAACGTGTTCATCAAATAGGGGGGAGTGCTTGTCAGAAATTTTGCACCATTTTGGGAAAACAGAGCTTTTGATGCATAAACTGAGACACATATCCAGTTGGTAATTAATATTGAAAGAGTAGCCATATTGTGTGAAACTATTATGTGTCCAGAACTATGGCAAACCCCTTACATTCACAATATGTATTTTTCACAAATAACCTAGTCTATATAGAATATAGTCATATGTGTCATATAGCTAGTAACTATCTAAGCTGGAATTCAAACCTACTCCATCTGATTTTGAATACAGTTTACTCTTCCACTATATGGTTTGGCTTTACTTGAAGTGACTGGCATCATAGCAGAGGAATTAAAAGAGAAATTGAAAGATCAGTTCTTAACCCTGTAGACACAATAGGATTCAGATTTTCTCCAAGTTCTTAAGACACCAGGTCTTAGGCAGCACTCTCACTTCTTGGTAGGCTAAGACTGTAAAAAATAATTGTACCCCTGTACTAAATTGGCTCAAGGAAGAATAAGTTTGCTCTTATCACAAAATTATTAAATATTTAAGGCAGTGAATATGCAAATTAACTTATTTAAGCATTCTGTAATATAGTAAAAATAAGAATGCCACTTTGCACCCCATAAATATATATGTCTATCAATTGTCAGAAAAATTAAAAATAGGCAAATTGACTCAAGATTTGGTTGAAGCAAAGACTGTCAACAGAGGATATCAGTGGTGCCAGCCAGCTAAGGCTATGAAAGATATGAAAGATAAATGCTGCTCAGAAGATAGTCTATCATTTGAGCTGATCAGATTCTTATTTTCTGATACAAATTTTTAAATGCTGGGTTTGTACATAAATCTAAATATTCTTTAGTACTGTCTTCTTCACTTTAATTCTATCATAGCATACACACTTAAATAATAACATACACACTTAAATTCTTCCTTCAACCAAGACTATGGGTGGTGAAATTTATCTTATCAGTAAGACGAATGGACTTCAATTAAAGAGTTATTTTTGGTTTGGTCACTTCCCAGTAATATGGCTTTTTCAAGATAGAAATTCATCAAGCCTCTGTTTTCTTATCTGACTAAAGGAGATAAGGATATCATATCACAAATTATTAGAGCTAATTGCATGTGTAACTCTATCAGCATAACAATCTTCATTATTTTTTCTTTTTAATATTACGCTACTCACAGAATCATAATTTCTTTAAAAGAACAGAACTATAGGCCAAATTTTATTGATTTCTGTAGCAATCTTGAATGGTCAAGTCTTTGTTAAAACATTTTATTTGTAGACCAAAGATGGGTCTTAATTTTGGACATGGTATTATACTAATCACATGGTTTGAGTTTTGATTTTGTTGAGTTACTGAAAGCAAAAGTTATAATAACAACTCTGTGTTACATAAGCAAAAGGATATTTTAAACTAGTTATAACAATAATATCAAGTACGTCATAATAGGCAATAACATAAGCTTGGATAATCTCAAAGGAATGTCATGGTTGTCCCTAAAGTTCCTATGTTCTTTCCAGCATTTTCTAGTCATTGATGGTCTGGTGTATATTCAAGAAAATAAGGTGGTGCTCCAATGATAAGGGTCATATAAATCTATGGTGTTTTTGCAAGTTTTTGGGTCTCTGCACTGCTGGATGACCACTATTCAAAAATATCACTTTTGTCTGTTCATTAAAAACATTGGATACAGTTATAGCTCCAACTGCTGCCAAATGAAGACAGATGTTTTCTTCTTCTTCTCTTTTTTTTTTTTTTTTTTTTTTAGACAGAGACTTGCTCTGTCACCCAGGCTGGAGTGACTTGCTCTGTCACCCAGGCTGGAGTGCAGTGGTATGATCTCAGCTCACTGCAACCTCTGCCTCCCGGGTTCAAGTGATTCTCCTGCCTCAGCCTCCCAAGTAGCTGGGATTACCAGCACCTGCCACCACGCCGGGCTGATTTTTGTATTTTTAGTAGACACGGATTTCACCATGTTTGCCAGGCTGGTCTCAAACTCCTGATCTCAGGTGATCTGCCCGCCTCGGCCTCCCAAAGTGCTAGGATTATAGGCATGAGCCACCGTGCCCGGCCATAAAGACAGATATTAAAGTTAAGCATTAGAGGTATGTGAGGCATCAAAATATGTTTGGTATTAACACCTACATTCTATTTCTAGTAAGCACATAGTTTGTATTGAAAATTTAGGATTAAATTATCATCTCTGGAAAAGATGGAGTCTAGGAAGACTATGCATCCCTATTCTTGGCCATTTTGGGTTCTCATAATGCTGCTTTGACCTAACAACCAGGACTGCTCCTGGTTATGAATATTAAGTAACTAAATCAGCAAAGAGAACTTGCCATCTTAAGCACTTATAATGATAGATACCAAGTTCTTATTCATATATTTATATACATGGAGTAAGCCCTTTATACAGGCCTTGCAGACTATAGCAAAGGATCTCTGCCTTCTCTTAACTTCAGGTAAATTTACTATAATCGGGCCATATGCTTTAGTGCTTTGATTATACATTTTCCAAAGCTAAATAACATATATTGAAAATGGGGTAAGGTAGAACACATAGATCACTTTGCTAGCAAACATTGGGGTGCTAATTATGGTCCAGATTCTGTTCTAAGCACTTTATATGTATTATCTCATTAATTTCTCATCCAATCTTACTGTTTACCTATAATTATTTCTCAGTTTTGGAGAAGGGAAATGAGATCTAGAGATTTAGTTAACATGTTGAAACCATGCAGTACGGTTGCTAGTATTTCTACGCCTGTATATTTGGTTCCAAATCTCATATTGTTAACACTATGCTGCTTTTAACCACTCTGCTTAATAAAGTCTTGCCAACTGTTGATGTATTACTAAGAAATCTTCTTATCTTTTCTCATATCCTGTAGAAGTTTGAAAACTACATTTTCAGACTATCTTAAAATAAAAAATACATAAGCTTATTAGGTCACCTTGTTCCGATAATCTTTCAGGCATGTTGTATGGTTAAGATATTTACTTTGAATACTCAACTTATTCCCACAAAATTCCATTTTATTTGAAAATTTTCCATAAGCTGTATATGTTGGGGGTAAAGATATTAATTTATAGGTTATCTGCTGGCAATTTCAACTCTAGAGATTATAACTCTGAAAATAATAAATATTTAAATAGGGATCATGAACCAAAAGAATAACTCTTTTGGTCTTAATGTGTGACATAGTTTATTTGAATATAAGCGTGAAATCAATATACTGAAATTATTTGCTATTGATCTGTAACACAAATTTTAATCATACTATAAGACCAGTTTATAAAGGGAATTGACTGAACTAATAAGAAACTATAGCACTGTCCCACATTCATTGCTCAATTTAAATACAGAACACAGAAATTCTGCCATATAATATGCTTTATTGAATTTGATATAGTAGGAATTATCTACTATATCACTACAATACTAGATGACTGAAAATGTTAGCTTGAAAAGCATTAAGATACAGCCTTTTTAAATATCAAGGGTCACTATGATATATTTTTATATAAAATATTTTGAAATTTTAATAATTGATACTTAAAGAGGTACAATTTAGTTACATAAAAATTTTGTAGCATAAAATAACTTATTACCAAGGAAATGACTGAATAAATGAACAATATTTTGTGTTTTCTTTTCTCCGTAGCACAATATGAGTTAAGCCTTGTCCTGTTTTTATTTTGGTGCTGCTCTTTTTTTTTATAAAAAATAATTTCACTGACTTTTTTAGTATTGACAAAGATTATAAAATGTGAGATTTACCTGAAACCCAAAGTTGCAGGCAGAAAGAAACTCTACAAACTTAAACTTAAATGTAACATTTTATCCCACATTTCTAATAAAAATTTTTAAAATAAAATTAAGAAACGATCTGAAGTAATTTTATAGCAAGAGCAGAATTATTTCTCTGCTTTTCTCAATATATGTTGATGGGCACTCATAAATACTACAAGAAAATCTGGCGTTCAAAAAATCTGGTGTCCAGATGACCTATGGTTAAACGTAAAACCTCCCTTGACAGTAATGACTCTAGGAAGCTGATGATGAGAATTGCCAAATTTAGAAAGCCGTGATCACTGCTCATATCAGGTTCTATCACCTCCCAAACATGGGAGAAAATCTCACTTTAAGAAGATTTGTTTTGCTGTGTTCAGACTAAGCATACTAGAATATTATTCTCCCAGCTGGATGGCTCTGTTTTGAAATTTAGTTCAGGAAGGAACCCTGTCCCTTTCCCCTACTGCCTCAATCCACACTGCTTTGTTCCCCCTCTGAACCACAGCACTGATCTCCATCATACTGTGTATTCTTTGTGTATCTCTTCACTGTTTGCTTTGAACAAATTTCAGTTCTAATTTGCTAAGTAAGCTAAATAACATTGTGTGTGTGTGTGTGTGTGTATACGTGTTTGTGTGTGTGTATGTCTTGTTTCTTTTTAAATAAACTGCATATTGGGATATCAGGTCTAAGTATATTGGGGCTTTGAAGAGTCCACAGACACTCTCTTGTGACTTGAGGTTTTGGAGGTGGTATGTTATACAGTGAGATGAGCCTGTAAGAAGGAGTTAGAAACCTGGATTCTAGGCTTGAGGCTGATTGTCCAGCACACTGGCTTTGGCAATGAACTCCTCCATCATTCTTCCATACCCTACCACCATCACAAAAAGCCATGTTTCATTACTCATATAATGAGTGTTGAACAAGATGCATCAAGGGACTATACCACTTTGAACAAAAGATGAGTTACTCAAATAAAATTGTCCTTGCAAATTGAGGACAAGGACAAAATCGTATATTTAATTTATATTTCCTTCCTCAGTGAATGTTGTATTAAGCTCCTGCCTAAGACATGGGAGCCTAATACATACTTCCAAGCTAATGCACTGCTAGAGACACTGAGGATATATAGATACAGACTCAAAGTCCACTACTTCATTCTCTCTGCTTCTTTCTCTTTTTCTTTCTTTTCTCCTGCCCCCTTCTTTTGAATTGTATCTACTTAAATCTGGAGTAAACTCTTTCAATTTTTCAGGCTCTAACCAGAAACAAGAGTAAATAGATGACCAAGGGCCTACCACAGAGATATAAATTTGTTTATTTCTGATCTCAGAGCAAGACCATGGATATTCATTTGAAAAGAATTGTAAACTCCTACAAAACAAAGCTCTCTTTTTGACATCTCTGAAATCTTGCTCCATCTCCTTTGCCCAGTATAGCTCTTTGTACTTAAAAGCTACTCAATAGTTTTGTTCACTTGATTTTTTAAATTTGATTGGTTGGTGATTGCAATCATGTCAATAAAGCAAGAAAAGAGAAGAATGCTTAAGCCAAGGAGTGCAATGCCTCCCAGCATAGAAATATTTTAAAATATTGAATACAGATTTCATCTACATGCATATTTAATCAAATTTGACTCTGTTGGTGTGCCCTAGTCTAGTATCAGGTGGTGTGCAATCCAGCTAATCAGGCAACAGGTTTGAAAACGCAATAAAGGCTATGTTAACTATAAAGCAAAACTACCAAATTTTCTCGCATAATTTTAAAGCAACAACTTTTCATCTTTATAACCTGCTAACAGTTTAACAGCATTCACAATTACACTTATGCGGAATAAACACAATGATTGCCTACAAGGTTATCATAATGTTAGGATATAGCAACTATTTTCCAAACAAAATAAAAACAACTACATTCAACAATGCGATGGTTTAATATTATCATGCAATGGTTTAATATTATCATAATGATGCAAATTTCTTAAATTAATTGAATGCCATTTATTCAGAATGGAAAACAAAAATACATTTTATGCAAGCAATATTTTTACATATACTGGCATCGAGTATTATTCTTTGTTTACCTGTAAGTGTGAAAAATTTTAAGGTACTTTGAGGAGCTTATAAATAAAAAACAATGTGTGAAATATATTTAGTTTCATTTCTGAGTTAAGTGCATTTATTGAATGTCAACACTATGGTGAGTAGTAACTTTATAATTGTGTTTAATCTGGAAACATTTATTGATTACTTTCTCTGCACAAGGCAGAAGTTTTGGAGCCACAAAATTAAACCAGATAAGTTCATCTTTCAAGTTGCCTGTATTATATTAGAGGAGACAAATGAATATACAATCTTTCATATACGTATGCCTTATCAATCATTGAAAATAGCCTTGTCTATTTTAAAACAAAAATTAGACTATTTAAAAAGTTGAATATTCATAAATTATTTTTTCTGATAATGAAAGAGAACTTTAAATGGTTTTCTTAAAGCAAATCATTTATCAAAGGAATCAAAATTTTAAATGGCTCAAAATTTCATTCAGAACTAATGACAGGCTTTACTAAAGTCATTTTATACCATGATCGCAAGCGATTTATTTTCCACTGTTATCTTCTGGGACTTCCCTACATATACCCCGGAAACATTAGAAATTCAGTCTCTGTTCTCTGCATGCATACTATGCTCTGCTACTTTGTTTGACACTTTGCTTAGTCTCCTTCTAATAATTAAGGTGTTTTTAAGCACTCATAAAAATCCAGTCAATTTTTCAATAGTATATCAATGAAGGATTTTATGATCTTATAATTCATTTCTCAAAATCCTAGTAATGTTTTTTTAAAGTCTCTCCCAGGGCACTTATTTTGTAAAGTTAAAGCATTTTGTACTGTGTTTTTTGTTTGTGTTTTCATACCTATCTTAGTGGGTGTGAAGTCACATCTCATTGTGATTTTGATTTGAATGTCCCTCATGACTATAAATAGGAGGGGATTCCCCTCTTTTTATTTTTGAAGAGTCACGCTTCTGGCTAAAATTCTAGGTGTGACTTTCAGGTCTGGCCAAGGGCAATTACAAGGCATGGTGTGTAGCCAATGCATCGCAGTCTTTGAAGGGAATTACGGGCCAGGATTGAGGCCCCTCTTTCCAACCATGCTATCCTACATACCTGCTTTCTTAGCCTAGGAGCTTTCATCTGGAGGTGTGTCTATCCAGGGCTTTCAGCAGATGCCTTCCTCAGGTGCCTCTGTCAAGATTTCCTTATGGGGAGACAGAAAGGACATTGAAGACACTTTTCTTTACCCCACTCTGACTGAAGTACTCAGAACTTTTTAACTCTTAGCTTTTTACCTTCACCTTCCTCTACCATTCTCATCAACTTGGTCCCTGTGACCCATAAAATCCTTGTTCTGGAGCTCCTTTGCTGTGAGACAACCCCTACATCTGTGCTGATCCTCTACTGACACATTGTTCCATGAGGAAAATGCAACACTGAAGAGAATCAGAGTTTTCTCTGGTTTAGCCTTTTGCTTATACTACTGCAATAAGTGATTAAAGGCTTAATTGCTCCTTTCATTTTGCCTTGTTGTCTTGGTTACTCTGATACCTGGTAACACAAGATTCTCCAGTTCAGCCGAGCTTTGATGAAACTTTTTACCTTTCTTGAGTCTTCAAATACTTGCAAGTGACCACCTTGTGTCAAACACTTTACTTGGTATTACGTGGCAGTAAGGAACTAAGAATATAGTATCAGAAACACTCAAATAAATCAATGTTTGCAGGTTAGTAGAATAAGAGCTGTAACTGAAAGTGCAAAGTAGTAACGAGTAGAATTAAATAAGCCAAACCATAATCAAATACATTATCCTGGCCAATGAAGTTGGGATATGAAGAATGAATAGGCCTTAAGAAGATGCTAGGAAAAGTGAATTCCAGGCATACGAAACAATATAAACAAAGGCGCAGAGTCATGAAACAGGATCATTACAAAAACATCAAACAATTACTTGTAACAGAGTGAAGGATGTGTTTTTAGGGTGTTGGAAATGAGGCTAGAAAGCATGGCAAAGGAAGCGCAGCAGTGCCCCTTTGCGGTAAATAAAAATGTATGAAAGTACTTTAATTATTTTTATATATTTTTTGAGATGTTCACATAACATAAAATTCACCGTTATAATCATTTTAAAAGGTATAATTTAGGCCGGGCGTGGTGGCTCACGCCTTTAATCCCAGCACTTTGGGAGGCCGAGGCGGGTGGATCACGAGGTCAGGAGATCGAGACCAACCTGGCTAACACAGTGAAACCCCGTCTCTACTAAAAAATACAAAAAATTAGCCAGGCATGATGGCGGGCGCCTGTAGTCCCAGCTACTTGGGAGGCTGAGGCAGGAGATTGGCATGAACCCAGGAGGCGGAGCTTGCAGTGAGCCAAGATTGTGCCACTGCACTCCAGCCTGGGCGACAGAGCAAGACACCGTCTCAAAAAAAAAAAAAAAAAAAAAAAAGTGGTGTTAAGTGTATTACAGCCATCAGTACTACCTCATTGCAGAATATTTCCATCACTCCAAGGAGAAACCTCACACCTTCAAATTGTTCTTTTCCATGTCTCCTGGAAACCATTAATCTACTTTCTGTATCTATGGATTTGTCTATTCTGGACATTTAACAAATTGAATTATACAATATGTGGTCTTTTGTGACTGGCTTCTTTCATTTAGTATAATGTTTTCAAAGTTCATTCATATTGTAATGCTTCCACACTTAATTCCTTTTAAGGACTGAATTATATTCCATTGTACAGAAATAACACATTTTATCTATTCATTGGTAGATGCAGTTGGATTCTTTGGCTATTGTGAATCATGCTGCTCTGAACTTATGTGTACAAATTTTATGTGAACATATATTTTTAATTTTCTTGAGAGTAGAAGTACTGTATCATACGGTAACTGTATAACTTTTGATGGAACTGCCAACGTGTTTCCAAAGCAGCTACACCATTTTACATTCCCATCAAAAACGAATGAGGGTTCAAATTTCCCCACATCTTCATTGACTTGTTATTTTTCTTCTGTTTTATAATTATAGCCATCCTAGTGTGTGTGAAATGACATCACATTGTGGTTTTGATTTGCATTTTCCTAATGACAAATGAAGTTGAACATCTTTTCATGTGCTTATTGACTTTTCTTCTTTGCAGAAATGTCTACTAGAATACATTGTCTATTTTGCCATTGGATTATCTTTTTATTGTTGAATTGTAAAAGTTCTTTATGTATTTTTGATAGTAGGAACTTACCAAATATATGATTTGAAAATATTTTCTCCCATCTTATGGATTGCCTTTTCACTCTCTTGATAGTATCCTTTGATATGCACAAGTTATTAGTGTGATGAATCCAATTTATCTTTTTTCTTTTGTTGCTTGTATCTTTGATGTTATAGCTAAGAATCTGTTCTCTAATCTAAGTACATAAAAATGTATATCTATACTTCTATGATTTTTATAGTTTCAATTCTTCCATTTAGTTTTTTTTTTATCCATTTTGAATTAATTTTGCATACGGTGTTAGGTAGGGGTACAGAATCATTTTCCTGTATGCTTGTAGACAGCATTTATCACAGCATCATTTGTTTAAAAAACTGTTAGTTTCCCCTTTGAATAGTTTTAATACCCTTCTCAAAATCAACTGACTACAGAAATGTTTATTTCTGGACTCTCAGTTCTTTTCCACTGATAGTGTTTATCTGTTTTTCTACCAGTATCACATTGTTTTTATTATGAGAGTTTCGTAGTAGGTTTGAAATTGGGAAATTGTGACTCTTCCAGCTGTTCCCCCCTCCCCCCGCCCCAAGATTTATTTGGTTATTCAGGATCCCTTGCATTTCTATGCAAAAATTAGGCGAGCCTGCCCATTTTTGCAAAATAGACAATTGGAATTTCAATAAAGATCAGCTTGATTCTGTAGATGAAGTTTCATTCCATTTCCTTCTCATAATTTTTAGTTAATCAGGGATGTTACTATTGGTTTGTTCTTCTATTAATTTGACTCCTAAAATTGCAATTATTGGAAGTAAAAATACATGGTCAGGATTGTCAAATTATCATACTTAACTTAGATTTTAATACACATTAGAGATTTAATAAATTTGTATCCAGGGACTTATTACATGAATAAATAAGCTGTTATCATAATATTACCTAAGTTTTATTAATATTTGCCATGGATTCAGGTTCAGATAGAACATATAATGCCCTTAAACACAAGACATTAAAATGGGTTTTATAATTTTGGAGGAATATTTACCTACCTATAACCTAAGATTCTTGCTAATCCCTATGCATATTGTAGGTTGACAAAAGTAATTTTTGATCTGTTACTGACAATAAAACTTTCAATTTTCTTTAAAAATATTGGTATCATCTATAGCCCACTTGATTTAATTTTTCTTTAGCCTACTTGATTCTTAAAAATGAGATATCCATATATATGTGTGTTTATATATATATATATACACACACGACAATTTCCTAGATTTAAAATGTCTATATATGGAGATTATGTATTTATGTACACAAAATGGGGTGCCCTAGTTTTTCTACCAGCAGGGAATCTGGAATTCATGACATCAATTAATGTCATATATATAATACATTTGTACTTAAAAGTACTCTGCTAGCTTGATATGAGCCTTGACAAAAACAGACAAATACTCAAAACAAGAATTGATTATTAAAAAAAAGACCTGTTTACATGAGAATTACTTACTATAAGATTTCCATTCACACACATATTTTTGGTTCTCTAGAAAATTTGATTTTTAATAGCAATTTATACATACACACACACACACACACACTCTTAAGCTGGTTATGAAGTTATAGTCATTAGGTCAATCCATTTCTAGTTTGATTGTGTCTTCTGCCCAGGACTATAATTAAAGATCATTTAAAGCTGTGCAGATTGCCAGATGATTTAGTCAATATGTTTAAATAGTTACATCCATGATATTTTAATTGGTATTTTATTAGAGGATTTTTGGATAAACCTCCACAAAATCAAATGAATTGTTAGCCTATCACCCCAAACTCTTGTGAAGTTTGGAATTGAATATGGTACATAGCAAGCTCAAATGCTTAGACTAAGCCAGTTAATCTTATTCAAAGGGCCAGCTAATTCTGTTTACCCACTGTAATCAATGACACTGAAGATTGATACGGTGGAGCAAACTAGGATCAGTTCTTTATTTTTACTCAAGACCAGTTTGGGACTAATTACAATTTCTAAATAATTAATCTGATTTCCTTTTAATTTCTATACAAATTTATATATTTATGAAAACATCAAAAATATTAACTGACAATAAGATTATCCTTGTTTTATTTTGACAATTGATTCATGAAAAATCACAACACTGGTAGAGCAGTTGCTTTGAATATGAAAAGTTTCTTTGTTTTAACTTGAAGAAATGTTACTATACAAGTTCCAGATGCCATTGAAGGCAATTAGAAGCAATCCCTCAGATTAGGTTGCCAGGCCCTGAATTGAATTGAGCAAAAAAATGAGCTCAAGCTATTGTAAGCTAAAAAAAAATGTGAAAAGGAAAAGTATTATATTGGTAAGCTGTCTATTTAAAGAAGGAACCTATTAGAAGCTAACAGAATTCATTATATGCAGCAGATGGCACTGAATAATTATTCTCCTGACTGAAGCTCTTTGTAAAATTATTATATGATCTTAAGTGAAAGAGATGTGCTGTTTACCCTGGAAATAAACAGTGACTTAAAACAGTTTCTTAATTCTTTCCCAAATATGTAATCTCTATACATAATGGAGAAATTCAAGAAAGATCATTCCTCTTCCCAAATGTTAGGTATCATTATCAAAATATTTACCCTTTGGAGACAATGAAAACAATTAAGTGGATAAAGGATTATATTATCCATTGAATCAATCCAAATGACTTTGGATATATTCTGTAAACGTCAGAGAAATTAACAACAGCATCAGCTGATTGATATTCCACAGAATAGAAAGCAGTCCACCTGGAAGTAGCAGGGTGCAGTGAAATAAATCATGGACTTTAATATCAGCCTAATATATTTGTATCCCAGCTTCAACAATCACTTGTGTTACCTTGGACCTGTAAACTACTTTCTGAGTTACAACTTTTTCACTTAGCGTGGACATACAATAATATGTACTACATGAAGAAGTGGTTGGAACAATATAGGAAAGGACATAGGTCATGTACCTAGCAAAGTGTTTAAATAAAAATAACCCTAGCATCAGAGTTCTTCTTATTTGGGGTCAAAATTATTTCCCTATAACTCTGTCTCATTAGCCTATTTCTGTCCCTGAAGCATTAAGAAGCATTGAGTATCTGAAGACAGTCATGAACTCCAAGCTGTCTGTCAAGCCTTCTCTTTCTTCAGTTAATCATTTCTCAAAGGAGGATAAAACAACTTGGCTGTACAGTATTTCCCAGAATAGGAAGGAGTCCCTTGGGCAGTACAATGAGTACAGTGAAAGCAAAACAAAAGACAACAAAATAAAAATAACTGGGGAATCTAGGAAGTCCAGTGGTGGTCTCTATGTTATTGGGGATATCATGAAGGAAACTGGTATTTGGAAGGGCTAATCTGCGTCATACTTAATATGATATCAAGTTCAAGACAAACTTTGTAGCTTCACATTTTCTGCAATGCTTAGGTTTCAGATTTTTTCATAAAATCTTTTGAAGCCTTTCTATTGAAATAGTTTTGTATGCTTTGCTGCTATGATGAGTCAACAGCTCATATATTCAACCTTTTGTTACCTTGATACTACTTGTAATAAATGAGAGTTTTTCCTTTTCTTTAGAATGAACACAGGGAGGAAATATTTCCTTATGTGACTGACAGAAAAATGGATTTAACATGGGCCTTTGTCCATGAAACTTAGTGAATGAGTAAAGGGAAATGAAATGTACATGTGTAATCACTACCCAAATATCCTATACTTAGTCCAGAGGTGCTGGTGCAGGGGGGAAAAAGTATGACTTGGACAATCTACAGCAACTGGCTTCTTTTTCTAACAAAATACATTTTTGGAAAAAAAAATTATTTACAGTTAGAGTCATCCTTTTGAACATCCTGAAATTTTAGATGATCATCTTGGAAAATATTTTTTTTTTATCTTGAATCGCTGCCCCAAAAGTTACAGCACAAAACTGATGCTAGCCATCTTTAACCTAAATTAGCCCCTTCTATACTATGAACATTAGTCAGATAATGCTATTTCTTTGTGAATTTAATAAATACTAGGGCAGCAAAAACATGACAGTAGACAAAACTTGAAGAAAGAGTACTACAATCAGTAAGTTTGGATACATTTTAAATGGAAAGGAAACGAGGGGCAAGTCAATATTTTGGAGTTTTATAGACTAAGGTATACTGTAAATTCTTCAGGGGTGATGTATTTAGCACATTACTTAATTTTTAGGTGAGAAACTTATTTTTTCCCTTTTTGGAGAGATATATGTTCAACTAATTCATGGAATGAAGTTTGGGGTTTCTTTTATGGAAAGGTGACATGGCGAAGTGAGGGGATCATAAGCTTGATGCTAGAAAGGAAAATGTTGAGCTCTTACTTCAACCCCTTACAAGGTAGGTGATGGAGGCAGATTCTTGATATAAGTCTGTGTGTTCTTCTGTAATAGGTCTGATTATAAAGATTATTTGAGGTAGGTATATAAAGCTTCTCATCTACAACAGACACGCAGAAAATGGCAGCAGATTTATTAAAGATAATAGAAGAAATGTATCTGGGGAAATACACAAATATTTAGGTATGTATTTTGCTTCAGATAATATATATATACAAATATCAGAGGGAATAAATACTAAACTATTATTAGGAAAAACCTTAATAGATTTATGTATAAATGCAAACTCTGATTTGGGTAAAAATTTGGGGATTGGAAACTTGAAATAAATAACATTGAAGTATATTATTGCTGCAACGTACAGATCATCTTCTTTCCAAATAATCTTCTGAAACAATAGATGTTTTTAGTTCATTAAAGCACAAATAATATTATATAAACATGTTCGATAAGTAAGAAGGCAACAGATATTCAAAAATGTGATTAAAAGTCTGAACTCAAAATAAAATTAGTCTGATAACACATTTATGAAATGTTTATTTGTTTAATCTTCTGTTGTTAAAGCTGTTAGCCCTCTGGCTAATAAAGGTGAGTGTTGTTTTTAGAACTCCTAACGAACAAAAGAGTTTTAAATTTCACAAGGGCTTCAATTTCAAGTCCTGTATTTTCCAGTCAGAGGCAAATACTTTCCCACGTTACTAACTCGAATCAATATTGCAATACTTTCCTAAATAATTTAGCTAGGGGAATAGGAATCTTAACTGAAATGTAAGGAGCTTATTGTTCTTAAATCATCCCTAGTATCATACTGCATGGACATTAGTTTAAATGCTGTCTTCTACCTCCAATAAGGCTCAATGATAAGTGTTTTCTTTAGCTACTAGGGGTGGCAGAGTGGCACAGTCCTCTGTCTCATAAAGGAAGAATGGGAAGCCTAAACCTTCAGGAGAATCTAATTTTTCTTCCTAAAGCAGACAGAATTTGCATTTTGTATTCTTTTAGTAGAGTTGGATATTTATTTGACTAGATCATCTAGTGGTTTATGTAGATAAAGAAGAAAACATCATTCTTTTAATAATGAAGACAACTAAATAAATAATTTCATTTTTTTGGTTTTGTGTTTTATGTTAACAAAATTGCACTATCATTCTAAAATACAGAGTTCATTTTGTCTAGTAAACTGAAACAGTGAAATCATTCAAACAGTACGAACTTAAAAATAATTCATTGTTATTATATGTTTGTGAGAATTAAAATACTTCAGAAAAATAATAGGATTTTTGGCTGATAGTACTAATGTCTAAAATAAATCATTTCTTATATAAAAAATTTGCACACATTCAATTTCTAGCCACTGTTCTAGAAATAATATGCATAAATAAAAGATTAATAAGCAGTTAATATATACAATGAGCTTCTGTTTTTTAATTTGCATGCAACCTTCTTATCATTTATTTACAAGTTGTATACAAGCAGAGTTTTATATTCAGGTAGAAAAGAAAAACCATATATATATACACACCATATATATTTGAATTAAACAACTTTTGTCTCATTAAATATGCATTTTCATGTCATAATAGCGATGTAATGTCTGAGAATATTGTATAACTTAATGAGGCAACTGGATAGACAGTAATTTTAAAAATATTATTGCAAGATTGATTTGAGAGTTAAGAGAGAGCTATAAAAGTACAATGCCAATTATTTCAGATCCCCATCTGGATTAGCTGTCTCTCTTATAGTCTGAGATTTTCCCTCAGAATATATCATGGATTATGAAAGGCTGTGATTTAGAATATACTTAAGATTAGATTTGGGTAAAGCTTTCACTCTTTATAAAGATGATTACTCTTTAACACTGCAATTATAATGGAGAATAATATCCTCTTGAATGAGGCCAGAACAACTTTCTATCTAACAACAGTACTGTGGCAGCTCTGTCTTAGCTCAGGAAATCCAGTAAAAGTAATTAGTTAAGGTAACATCATATATAACATTTTTGTTCCTTTTGATTTCTTTTCAAAGGAACGATTTATGACAATACTTTGAAAAATAAAAATTTGTCTGCATTTAGGAAGTAAGTTTTGACATATCAGTGGCAGAAAAGTTCAGTTTTGACCCACTGAAAAAATTTTCAGAAACAATGTCCTATTTCTGGTTTCTCATATCAAAATCTCTTCAATATTATCAATACTTGTGTGCTGCCCATTCTAATAAGTACATAGTAGTGTCTCATTATGGCTTTAATTTTCTTTTCTCCAATAAGTGATGAAATTGAGCATCTTCTCATATACTTACTTATCTTTCATGTTTCTTCTTTGTTGAAGTGTTTGTTTAAATATATTACCCATCTTTCAGTTTTTTCTTATAGTATTGAGTTTTGAGAGTTTTTAAAATATATTTCTGGTACAATTCCTTTACTAAATATGTTACTTTCAGGTATTTTCTCCCAGTTTATGGTTTGACTTTCCAGTTACTTAACAATGTTTTCATTTTGATGAATTTTAACTTGTCAAAGTTTGGTTTTATAGATTGTGCTTTTGTTATTGTCCTTAAAAAAACTGCCTAATCTAACATTAGATTTTTCCCCAAATTTTCTTCCAGAAGTTTATTTTTGAACAGTATTTGCGTATGATGCAACATATGGATTACATTTTATTTAATGCAAGCAGTAAAGAGCATACCTTGTCTTGTTCCTGTTCTTAGGGAGAAAGCATTTCATTAAGTATGTTAGACATAAGTTGTTTTGTTTTGAGACGGAGTCTCGCCCTGTCAATACAGTGAGATCAATACAGAAGGCGGGTAATTTCTGCATTTCCAACTGAGGTACCCGGCTCATCTCATTGGGACTGCTTAGACAGTGGGTGCAGCCCACGGAGGGTGACCTGAAGCATGGTGGGGCATCACCTCACCCAGGAAGCACAAGGGAACTCCCTCCCCTAGCCAAGGGAAGCCATGAGGGACTATGCCATGAGGAATGGTGCACGCCGGCCCAGATATTACACTTTTCCCACAATTTTTGCAACCCACAGACCAGGAGATTCCCTCAGGGGCCTACGCCACCAGGGCCCTGGGTTTCAAGCACAAAACTGGGCAGCCATTTGGGCAGACACCAAGTTAGCTGCAGGAGGTTTTTTTGTTTTGTTTTGTTTTCATACCCCAGTGGTACCTGGAACACCAGCGAGATAGAACCGTTCACTCCCCTGGAAAGGGGGCTGAAGCCAGGGAGCCAAGTGGTCTAGCTCAGTGGATCCCACCTGCACAGAGCCTGGCAAGCTAAAATCCACTGGCTTGAAATTCTCATTGCCAGCAGAGCAGTCGGAAGCCAAGCTAGGACGCTCCAGCTTGGTGAGGGGAGGGGCGTCTGCCATAACTGAGGCTTGAGTATGCAGTTTTCCCCTCACAGTATAAACAAAACCACTGGGAAGTACAAACTGGGCGGAGCCCACTGCAGCTCTGCAAAGTGTCTGTAGCCAGACTGCCTCTCTAGATTCCTCCTCTCTGGGCAGGGCATCTCTGAAAGAAAGGCAACAGCCCCAGTCAGGGGCTTATAGATAAAACTCCCATCTGCCTGGGACAGAGCACCTGGGGGAAGGGGCAGCTGTGGGTGCAGCTTCAGCAGACTTAAATATTCCTGCCTGCTGGCTCTGAAGAGAGCAGCAGATCTCCCAACACAGAGCTGAAGCTCTGCTAAGGGACAGACTGCCTCCTCAAGTGGGTCCCTGACCCCAGTGCCTCCTGACTGGGAGACACCTCCCAGCAGGGATTGACAAACACCTCATACAGGAGAGCTCCAGCTGGGATCTGGAGGGTGCCCCTCTGTGAGGAAGCTTCCAAAGGAAGGAACAGGCAGCAATCTTTGCTGTTCTGCAGTCTCTGCTGGTGATACCCAGGCAAACAGGGTCCGGAGTGGGCTTCCAGCAAACTCCAGCAGACCTGCAGAAGAGGGGTCTGACTGTTAGAAGGAAAACTAACAAATGGAAAGGAATAGCGTCAACAACAACAAAAAGGACTTCCACAGAGAAACCCCATCTGAAGGTCAACAACATCAAAGACCAGAGGTAGATAAATCCACAAAGATGAGGAAAAACCAGTGCAAAAAGGCTGAAAATTCCAAAAACCAGAACGCCTCTTCTCCAAAGGATCACAACTCCTCGCCAGCAAGGGAACAAAACTGGTCGGTGAAAGAATTTGACAAACTGACAGAAGTAGACTGCAGAAAGTGGATAATAACAAACTCCTCTGAACTGAAAGAGTATGTTCTAGCCCAATACAAGGAAACTAAGAACCTTGAAAGAAGGTTAGAGGAATTGTTAACTAGAATAACCAGTTTAGAGAAGAACATAAATGACTTGGTGGAGCTGAAAAACATAGCACGAGAACTTTACAAGGCATACACAAGTATCCTAGTCTCTGATAAAACAGACTTTAAACCAACAAAGATCAAAAAAGACAAAGAAGGGTATTACATAAGGTAAAGGGATCAATCCCACAAGAAGAGCTAACCATCCTAAATATATATGCACCCAATACAGAAGAACCCAGTTTCATAAAGCAAGTTTTTAGAAACCTACAAAGAGACTTAGACTCCCACACAATAATGGGGACTTTAACATCCCACTGTCAATATCAGACAGATCTACAAAACAGAAAATTAACAAGGATATTCAAGACTTGAACTCAGCTCTGGACCAAGCAGACCTAATAGACATCTACAGAACTCTCCACCCCAAATAAGCAGAGTATACATTCTTCTCAACAACACATCACACTTATCCTAAAATTGACCACATAATTGGAAGTAAAACACTCCTCAGCAAATGCAAAAGAATGGAAATCATAACAAACAGTCTCTCAGACCACAGTGCAATCAAATTAGAACTCAGGATTAGGAAACTCCCTCAAACCACACAATTACATGGAAACTGAACAACCTGCTCCTGAATGACTACTGAGTAGATAATGAAATTAAGGCAGAAATAAGTAAGTTCTTTGAAACCAATGAGAACAAAGACACAACATAACAGAATCTCTGGGACACAGTTAAAGCAGTGTTTAAACGGAAATTTATAGCACAAAAATGCCCAAAGGAGAAAGCAGAAAAGATCTAAAATCGACACCCTAACATCACAATTAAAATAACTAGAGAAGCAAGAGCAAACAAATTCAAAAGCTAGCAGAAGACAAGAAATAGCTAACATCAGAGCAGAACTGAAGGAGATAGAGACGTGAAAAACCCTTCAAAAGATCAATGAATCCAGGAACTGTTTTTCTGAAAAGATTAACAAAA
This sequence comes from Homo sapiens, assembly GCF_000001405.40. Classification (NCBI taxonomy): domain Eukaryota; kingdom Metazoa; phylum Chordata; class Mammalia; order Primates; family Hominidae; genus Homo; species Homo sapiens. The sequence continues at coordinate 57,446,390 of NC_000010.11, read as the reverse complement.
TAGACCGCTGGCTGGACTAATAAAGAAAAAGAAGAATCAAATAGACACAATAAAAAATGATAAAGGGGATATCACCACTGATCCAACAGAAATACAAACTACCATCAGATAATATTATGAACACCTCTACCTAAATAAACTAGAAAATCTAGAAGAAATGGATACAATCCTGGACACATACACCCTCCCAAGACTAAACCAGGAAGAAGTCCAATCCCTGAATAGACCAATAACAAGTTCCGAAATTGGGGCAGTAATTAATAGGCTACCAACACCAAAAAAAGCCCAGGACCAGACGGAGTCACAGCCGAATTCTATCAGAGGTACAAAGAGGAGCTGGTACTATTTCTTCTGAAACTATTCAAAACAATAGAAAAAGAGGGACTCCTCTCTAACTCATTTTATGAGGCCAGCATCATCCTGATACCAAAACCTGGAAGAGACACAACAAAAAAATAATATTTCAGGCCAATATCCTTGATGGACATCAATGCGAAAATCCTCAATAAAATACTGACCAACTGAATCCAGCAGCACATAAAAAATATTATCCACCATGATCAAGCCAGCTTCATCCCTGGGATGCAAGCCTGGTTCAACATATGCAAAACAATAAATGTAATCCATCGCATAAACAGAACCAGTGACAAAAACCACATGATTATTTCAATAGATGCAGAAAATCCCTTCAGTAAAATTCAGCACTCCTTCATGCTAAAAACCCTCAGTAAACTAGGTACTGATGAGACGTATCTCAAAATAATTAGAGCTATTTATGACAAACCCACAGCCAATATCATACTGAATGGGCAAAAGCTGGAAGCATTCCCACTGAAAACCGGCACAAGATGAGGATGCCCTCTCTCACCACTTCTATTCAACATGGTATTGGAAGTTCTGGCTAAGGCAATCAGGCAAGAGAAAAAAATAAAGGGTATTCAAATAGGAAGAGAGGAAGTCAAATTGTCTCTGTTTGCAGATGACAATATTGTATATTTAGAAAACCCCATCATCTCAGCCCCAAATCTCCTTAAGCTGATAAGCAACTTCAGCAAAATCTCAGGATACAAGATCGATGTGCAGAAATCACAAGCATTCGTATACACCAATTATAGACAAACAGAAAACCTAATCATGAATGAACTCTGATTCACAATTGCTACAAAGTGAATAAAATACCTAGGAATACAACTTACAAGGGATGTGAAGGACCTCTTCGAGGACAACTACAAACCACTGCTGAAGAAAACAAGAGAGGACACAAACAAATGGAAAAATATTCCATGCTCATGGATAGAAAGAATCAATATAATGAAAATGGCCATACTGCCTAAAGTAATATAGATTCAATGCTATCCCCATCAAACTACCATTGACTTTCTTCATGGAATTAGAAAAAACTACTTTAAATTTCACATGGAACCAAAAAAGAGCCCATATAGCCAAGACAATCCTAAGCAAAAAGAACAAAGCTGGAGGCATCATGCTACCTGACTTCAAACTATACTAGAAGGCTACAGTAACCAAAACAGCATGGTACTTGTACCACAACAGATATATAGACCAATGGACCAGAAAAGAGGCCTCAGAAATAATGCCACACATTTGCAAACATCTGATCTTTGACAAACCTGTCAAAAACAAGCAATCGGGAAAGGATTTCCTATTTGATAAATGGTGTTGGGAAAACTGGCTAGCCATATGCAGAAAACTGAAACTGGACCCCTTTCTTACACCTTATATAAAAATTAACTCAAGATGGATTAAACACTTAAACCTAAGGCCTAAAACCATAAAAACCCCAGAAGAAAACCTAGACAATACTATTCAGGACATAGGCATGGAGAAAGACTTCATGACTAAGACAGCAAAAACAATGGCAAGAAAAGCCACAATTGACAAATGGGATCTAATTAAACTAAAGAGCTTCTGCATAGCAAAAGAAACTATCATCAGAGTGAAGAGGCAACCTACCAAATAGGAGAAAATTTTTGCAATCTATTCATCTGACAAAGGGCTAATATCCAGAATCTACAAACAACTTAAATTTACAAGGAAAAAAACAAACAACCCCATCAAAAAGTGGGCAAATGACATGAACAGACACTTCCCAAAAGAAGACATTTATGCAGACAACAAACACATGAAAAAAGCTCATCATCACTGGTCATTAGAGAAATGCAAATCAAAACCCCAATGAAATACCATCTCACATCAGTTAGAATGGCGATCATTAAAAAGTCAGGAAACAACAGATGCTGGAGAGGATGTGGAGAAATAGGAACACTTTTACACTGTTGGTGAGAGTGTAAGTTAGTACAACCATTGTGGAACACAGTGTGGCCACTCCTCAAGGATCTAAAACCAGAAATACCATTTGACCCAGCAATCCCATTACTGGGTATATACCCAAAGGATTATAAATTATTCTACTATAAAGACACATGCACATGCATGTTTATTGCAGCACTGTTCACAATAGCAAAGACTTTGAACCAACCCAAATGCCTATCAATGATAGACTGGATAAAACAATGTGGCACATATACACCATGGAATACTATGCAGCCATAAAAAAGATGAATTCATGTCCTTTGCAGGGACATGGATGAAGCTGGAAACCATAATTCTCAGAAAACTAACACAGGAACAGAAAACCAAACACTGCATGTTCTCACTCATAAGTGGGACTTGTACAATGAGAACATATGGACACAGGGAGGGGACATCACACACTGGTGCCTGTCGGGGTTGGGGAGCTAGGGAAGGGATAGCATTAGGAGAAATACCTAATGTAGGTTAACGGGATGATGCTTGGAATAAACCACCATGACATGTGTGTACCTATGTAACAAACCTGCATGTTCTGCACATGTATCCCAGAACTTAAAGTATAATAAAAAATAAAAAGAAATAAAATAGAGACAAAAAGTGCTTAAAAGATCTGGATAACTAAAGCAAAATTTTCTCATTCATTACAAGTGGGTATTTTGATGTATTTGTTTTTCAGTATTTCCATTGTTAATTGGACAGGAAAGAAAGTGTGCCTTTTACATTGTCTAGGATGACAAACACTTTGAGGAATATTTTAACATGGATGAGAAGAATTGACACAGAGAAATAAAATTAACTCTGGGGATGGTGTTAGGGAAGGAATTTCAGGGAAGATAACAGCATCTCTCATATGCATAAATTATGTTTTATTTCTTTAGAAAAAGTGAAACTTAGATAGTGGTTATATTTGGGTGATGGCAATGTTGATCTACAACTATTCTTTATTTTGTAACATAAATGAAATGTGTCTGCACTTATTAAACCTATTTGTCTTTTAGAGGATAATGCTGTCTTTCTCTTCAGTCACATACGTTCAGGGGAGCAGGAAGAACAAATACTGCACACTGGAGATGCAAATGGTTCAATAATTCATGTACCCTTACACCTATGGCTTAATCCTTTCTAGTAAGTGATAATATCATGACTGTCTTCTCAAGAGACTATCAAGGAAGTTTTCATCATATTGGTCTGATGCCAATGAATCTTCCCTTTAAACATCTCAGGTTCCACATAGACTGTCATTCATAAGACTAATCTGTTTTTCATTCTTAGCATTTAACTAAATGATTGATAGATAATAAAGAGAAAGCCCATTTATGGTTAATGGGATGTCCTAGATTCTTCCTTTGGACATGTTAAAAAATATATCAGATGCGAACACCACAAATAAAACTTCTATTTCTTATTAACAGGGATACTAACAAGAAAGATTATTGCATTAACTATTATCGAAATGTACACTCTTCCTCAGGGTGAATATGTATAAATTTATATGAAAGATAAGCATCAGATTGTTAATGTTTAGATTCCACTTAATATTTGTTCAAAAGCTTGCTACTTCCCAGAAAAAGAAATCTTATTCTATTAATCATGAACCAAAGAAAGTAAATGTTCCAGACAAAAACACAAACAATTCGAAAAATAGAATAAGAACCTGACTTCACAGGCATGAGGGTAAAAGAATTTCATTTCCTACTATCAGATCACGTGCTTTAAGACTTGCTTTAATGATCCAAACCCTAACATTCCTGATAAAGTTACTACAATAGTAGCCCATTTACCAGCAGGTCAACTTGAAAGTTGTTGATTTTTCTAAAAGGAATCCAGAAAGACCTAATAAAATAAATACAATTTGTAATTCTATGTTATGTCATCATCTCTGATAATCACTTTTTCAAGGATGTACATGTATCTGTAGGATATGTTTATGATAATTATATTCATTAAAATCTGATGATGTTTTATTTCTCTTCCCACCAGCCTATTTGCCTTGGATTCATGTAAAAAGTATTTTTGACCTTGAAAACATATTAAAGAAACCAAGCAGGAAAAGGCCTTCTCTATTATCCTATTTGTAGATGGTTGGAATAGGAAAATCTATAACAAAGAAAATAGATTGGTAGTTATCAGGCATTGGGAAGAGAACAATAGGGAGTGACTGCTGACAGGTATGGCTTTCTTTCTGCAGTGATGAAATATTCTGGAATTATGTGATGATGATCACAGCTCTGAATATTCATATAACTTTGTGAATACACTGAACACCTCTGAATTGCATACTTTACAAAAGTGAATTTTATGGTAATTATACTCAAATGATTTTTTCATGTTATACAAGAAAAAGGTACTACTAATCCTGATTTTTCATTAAACAAATGTGTTTACTGAGAAATTTTAAAATGTAAGAATGATTATGTTGTATAAAAGAGAGTGAAACTTTCACATGTATGTATGAATATTGCATGAGTGGTAATTCGGAATTCCACGATAAATCTTGCAGGGTTTTAGGTAATTTTTACCCTTTTAAATTGAGATTCCAGAAACTTAAAAATGATTTTTTTCTCCTATAAAACTAAAATATCTCAATTTAAATTTATAAATTAAAAGACACCGTGCTTTTACTTTCTGTATGAGTTGGTATTATACCTAAATGTTGAAATGAATAAATTTTCTTCTGTTAACAGCTGTGCTGGCAACTAACATGCAATTGAACATTTTCATATTCTAGGAGTGGATAATATTTTATATTAATTGGTATAAAAATACAAGAAACTTTTAGATAACATAGATTTTACACATGAGAAAAATGAGATTTAAAGATATTAAAATAGAGATCAGTAAATTTCTTCTCTAAAGGGTCAAATATGTGAATTTCTGAGGTTTCATGGGCCAACTGGTTTCTGTCATGAATACACAACTCTGCTATTTTAGCTAAAATATAGCCATAGATAAAAGGCAAATGATGTGACTGTAATTCAATACAATTTTTATTCGCAAAAATAGGCAGAAGGCCCGTTTTGGTCCACAGGCCATAGTTTTCCAACCCTTGGGTTGAAGGGTTGGTAATCTGCTCAAGGTAATGCAGTTAGTAATCGTACATATGAGACTCTGCTTTAACAGGTTTAATGCAGATTCCAGAGTCTACATTTTTAACAAGTGCCTCATAACAAAAAAAATTACTAGCACTTAAAAATTTTGAAGAAAAATACCTTTATTTGACTTAATAGATGATGTTAGTAATTATTTATTTCTAGACTTTGGAATTATATGTTTGTACATTCTTTATTGCTTTTTTTCTCATTTGTTTTTATTCTGGTAAAACGTAAAATAAACATAATATTTACACATAAAATAAACACAAAATGTGCCACCTTAACCATTTTTAGGTGTACAGTCCAATGGTATTAAATGCATTCCTAATGTTATGCAGCTATCACTACCATCCATGGACATAACTTTCAATATGGTAAAACTCAAATACCTATTAAGCAGTCACTCCTCAATACCCTTCCACCCAGCCCTTGGCAATGACAATTCTACCTTATGTTTCTGATTTTCATGATTCTAGGTACCTCACATAAATGGAAGCATACAATATTTGTTTTATTGTGACTGGATTTTTTCACTTAGTGTAATGTTTTCAGGTTTTATTTATTTTGTAGCATGCGTTAGAATTTTCTTCCTTTATAGGGCTGAATAATATCCCATTATCTGTATATTCAACATATTGCTTATCCATTCATCCCTTGATGGACACTTGGGTTGCTTCCAGTTTTTGGCTATTGTGAAGAATTTTGCAATAAACATGGATATACAAATATGTTCACGTGCATGTTTTCAATTATTTTGGGTGTATACCTAGAAGTGTTAGTACTGGATTGTATGGTAATTCTATTTTTAATATTTTGAGAAACAACCATACTGTTTTCCACAGTAGATTTACCCTTTTACATTTCCACTTACAGTGCACAGGGTTCTAACTTCTCCACATCCCTGCTAGTACTTATTTCCTCTTTTCTTGACAGTAGCCATTCTAATGGATGTGAGGTGGTATATATCATTGCAGTTTTGACTTCCTTTTCCCTAATGATCAGTTATGTTGAGCACTTTTTCATGTGTCTATTGGCCATTTGTGTGTTTTCTTTGGAGAAATGTCTATTAAAGTCTTTTGCCCATTTTAGAATTTGACTAATATTTGCTGCTGAGTTTTAGGAGCTCTGCATATATTCTGGATATTAATCTCTTATCAGATATATCATTTGCAAATATTTTCTCCCATTCTGTCGTTTGCCTTTTACACCATTGATACTCTTTTCACGCATAAATTTTTTAAAGTTTTATGAAATCCAATTTATCTATTTTCCTTTGTTGCCTATGCCTCTGATGTTGTATTCAAGAAATAATTGTCAAATTCAATATAGGGAAGTTTTTGCCCTATATTTACATATAAGAGTTTTATAGTTTTAGTTCTGACATCTAAGTGTTTGGTACAGTTTGAGTTAATTTTTGTATAAGATATTATATAAGAGTTCAACTTCATTATTTTGCATGTAGATATACAATGTTCTCAGCACCAGTTTTTGAAAAGACTGTCCTTTTCTCATTGAATGGTCTTAGCACACTCAGGAAAAATCATATGACCATATATGGAAGGGTTTATTTTGGGACTATTCTATTCCATTGATTTATATGTCTGTCCTTATGCCACTACTATATTGTTGTTATTACTGCAGATTTGTAGTAAATTTTGTAATCAGAAAATGTGTATGTTCCAATTTTGTTCTTTTTTAAGATTATCTTGTCTACATGGGGGTACCCTTGAGATTCTATATGGATTTTTAAATGTAATGAATTTTATGTTTATTATATGTGTAAGTATTATATTTATTTTATGTGTTTTGTCTCTTTTAGAAAAAAAATCATTGAGATTTTGATAGGGATTGCATATATTTTAAAAGATATCACAAAAAGTGTCTCTTGAACTCCTATGGGATAAAGTTAAAAATCAATAACAGAGGTAAAACTGGGAAATTCACAAATTGTAAAAATTAACACACTCTTTTTTTTTGTTTTGTGTTTTTTGTTTTTTTGAGATGGAGTCTCGCTCTGTCGCCCAGACAGGAGTGCAATGGCATGATCTCAGCTCACTGCAACCTCTGCCTCCCAGGTTCAAGCAACTCTCCTGAAAATTAACACACTCTTAAACCACGAATGGTTCAAAGGAGAAATCACAAGGGAAATTTACAGTAAAATGATTTTTGATAAGGGTACCAAGACCATTCAGTGGGAGAAAGTACAGTCTTTTGAACAGGTCTGTCCACATTAATTTTGGTAGTTGATATCACAAAATTACATTTTTGTATATTATGTGCCCCCGAATATAAACTACTAATTGTTTAAATGCATTAGTCCTTTAATTTATGTATAAAACAAAATATGGAGTTACAAACTGAAGTCACAATAATACTAGGTTTTAGATTAATACTTATTTTTTAAATAAATGCATTAGTCTCTTCAAGCATGTAGAAAACATAAATGGAGTTACAAATCATTATTAGAATAGTACAATATTTTGTAATTGCTCATTGATTTACCATTGTTGAGATCTCTATTTCTTCATACAGCTCAAAATAGTGTATAGTGTCCCATAGTGTATAATGTCCTTTCATTTCACTCTGCAGGACTTCCTTGAATATTGCTTGCAGGGGAGGTCTTGTGGTAACAAGCTCTTTTTGTTTATCTGGAAACAAATTTCCTTAACTTCTCTCTCACTTTTAAAGGATAGTTTTGCTTGATATAGGATTCTTGGTTATTGTTTTACTTTTAGCACTTTGAATATGTGGACTCACTGCCTGTTAGTCTCCAAGGGGTCTAATGAGAAATCTGCTCATCTCTCTTTTTACTTTCAAGATTTTCTTTTTGGCTTTTGAAAGTTTGATTTGAATGTGCCTTGGTGTTAGTCTTTTAAATTCCATCTACTTGGAATTACTTGAGCTTTTTGGATGTTTATATTTATATCTTTTATCAAATTTGGCATCCATTTCTTTCTCAGCCATTTCTTCAAATATTCTCTGTACCACGGTCTTTCTTCTCCTTGGATTTCCACAGTGTGTGTTCTGGTCTGCTTGATGGTGTTCCATAGGTCCCTTAGGCTCCATTCACTCTCCGTCCATCTTATTTTCTTTCCATTTCTCAGACTTGGTAACTTGTATTGTTTTGTCTTCAAGTTCATTGCTTCCTTTTTTTGCCTGCTCAAAACTGCCTTTGAATCCCTCTAGTAAATTTTACTTTTCAGTAACTATACTTCTCAGCTCCAGAATTTCTTATTGATTTCTTTTTAAGTTTTTAAAATCTCTTTATTGATTTTTCCATTTTGTTCATATTTAATTTATTGACGTTCTTCACATTTTTCTTAAGTTCTTTGAGCATCATTAAGGTAATTGTTTTAAAGTCTTTTTCTAATAGGTATGCTATTAGGTCTTTTTCCGGGACAGTTTATATTGATTAATTTATTTTTCCTTTGAGTGGGCTATATATTCCTTTGTATGCCCTGTGATTTTTTGTTTGTTTTTATGTATGTCTTGTGCGGATTTTTGTTGTTGAAAACTACACATTTGAATCTAATAATGTGGTAACAGTGGAAATGAGATTCTAACCTTTCCCCAGCGTTTGCTGTTTTTTGTAATTGTTTTTGTTTTGTGAATTATTTTGGCTGTCTCTGAGTCAATAATAAGTTTGAGGTATAATCTTAGGTCTTCTCTGCTCTTTTATGAACCTGGCCTTTTTCCTGGTCATGTGTGGTTACTTTCTAATATTCCCTTTATATACAGTTTTTTGTTTGCTTGTTTTGTTTTTACTTTTTTTGTTTTGAGGAAGGGTCTCACTCTGTCACCCAGGCTGGAGTGCAGTGGTATAATTTTGGCTCACTGCAACCTGTCTCCTTGGTTCAAGCAGTTCTTTTGCCTCAGCCTCCCGAGTAAGCTGGCATTACAGGCGTGCACCACCACGCCTGGCTAATTTTTGTATTTTTAGTAGAGACAGGGTTTCATCATATTGGCCAGGCTGGTCTCAAACTCCTGACCTCAAGAGATTCGCCAGCCTTGGCCTCCCAAAGTGCTGAGATTACAAGTGTGAGCCACCACACCCGACCCTTAAATACAGTTGTTTTTGAATGTCTTAGTCTTTAATGTCTGGTTCTCAAAAATAGGAAAAAGACGAAAATAATGGGGTGAAGGAAGGGCACTGGCCCTTTAAATCCCCTGGTAGTCGCTTCAGCCAGAGTAGGAGAGGCTTGCAACATTGAAGAAAGGTGCTGCAACAGGAACCAAGCCTTCCCCAGGAAGCTGCAAGCCTTCAATATTCTCCAGAATTCCAAAACAGTTATATCAGACAGATTCTACCACTGTGGTTGTTGTCTAGGTGTGGAGAAAGATTTCTGGGGTATACTACTTTTCCATCCCCCTGAATCTTCTCGCCTTTTTCCCATTTGTAAATCTACTTTTCTTTTTAGTATTTTAAAGAAGGAAATAAATAAGATTAAAATTTTATGTTTGAATAAAAATTTTTGAATATTAGCTATTGATTTTGAAAGTGATATGAGAATAGAGATTGTTACATTAAAAAATCTTGAGTTGGGGGCAGTGATTCATGCCTGTATTCCTTGGACTTTGGGAGGCAAGGCAGGGAGATTGCTTGAGCCTAGGAGGTCAAGGCCAGCCTTGGTAACATAGAGAGATCCCATTTCTACAAAAAAAAAAAAAAAAAAAAAAAAAAAATATATATATATATATATATATATATATATATATATATATATATATATATATTAGGCAGGCATGTTGGTGTATGGACTTGTATTCTTAGCTACTTGGGACGCTGAGGAAGGAGGATCACTTAAGCCCAGGAGCTTGAGGCTACAGTGAGGTAGGATCATAACCACTGCACTCTTGCTCTCTAGTTTGGGCAATGGAGCAGGACCTTGTCTCAAAAGAAAAAAAAAAAAAAAGGAAGAACGAAATCATGAACCTTTTTTTGAGTGTTGTCTAAACAAAATATAATTTTTGACTGATTATAAATATTTTTATCTTACATTTTAATGTATAGATTTTATATATAAATTATACGACCAGTAAAAAATACTTGACAGTAGATTTTGAGTCTTCCTTTTATTTTTTCTTTTCTACAACGATGGCATAATTTATATAACAAGTAAGCATCTAGAATACTGGACTAAATATAAGACATTTATTTTAGTCATTGAAATATAGACAGCACAGGTCTGTGATTCCTGAGAATGGAAAATCAAATGAGATAAGCTACACAGCTTGCTTCCTGGAATAAATTTCAGATCCCAGTTTATAAGAGTAGATTCTGAAAAACGTATAGCCTCATTGGGTTGAGAAATTGAATGCCAAAATCTGAGTAGCCCACAGCAGCTAGAAATTTTGGATCAGAGTAGCAGAAAAGATCTATAAAAAATGAGTGCCAGAAATCTAAGGTATTAGATTTGATATAGTACCATTCAGCAAATGCATAGGGTGAATATCTATGAAGACTGGCAAAGAAACAATTGCTAAGTAAAATATAATTAGTAGGTATCTTGAATTGTTTGACATCCCACCATCCAGGGTACAGAGACCTTAGTAAGTATACAAAGTCACTCATGGTTACTACGGAAAGATCATTCCCTTTGTACTAGAAATAGAATAGTTCTATTTTATAGGCTACTCTGGACACAGCCTGAGAAAACTTATAGCAAACATTACCATATTCAATTGACTACCAGAAAAAAATCTAAAACTGTTTAATAATACAGCAAAATCTGGCATTAACAAGATAAAACTAAAAGTGTCAAATATACAATCAGAAATTTTTAGACATGCAAAAAACAGGAATATATGATCTATAATTGAGAGAAAAATCATTTAATGCAAATCAGCCTACAAATTAACACCATTAATGAATTAACTAACATGGATTTACAAAGTCTCATGTTAATATAAATTTGCACAGGTAGCTAAAGGAAAGCATAGACCTAAGACCTAAGGAGGGGAGAATTGCAAGGTATTTAAAAATTCTAAATAAAAAAATGTAGAGATGACACATGCAATATTCAAAATAAAAAATTACTGTGTTGAACTAATGGCAGTTTAGATGTTGAAGAAAGGGACAGTGAACTTGAAAACACAGAAATAAATTATCCAAATCTAAGTACATAAAGGAAAATAATGAAAAACACAATTCATAGTGGCCTGTGGGGTAAGCAAGTGATCTAAATTCGAGGAGTAGAGCATAGAAGAATAATGTATTTTAACTGTAAAGATTTCCAAGTTTAATAAAAATTATAAATTCACAGATTCAGTAGACCAAACAACCCCAGTTAGGATGCATACCAAAAAGCCCACATCCACACAAATAACAATATTAATTAGAACAAGTTAAAAAAAGAAGGAGGAGGAGAAAGAGGTGAAAACGCTGATACAACGATAAAGAAATCTTAAAGGCAGCCATAAAATAACAGCACATTATATTCACTAGAACTAATACAAATTACAGCAAACTTTTTTTCTGACACCATGCAACACAGAATAAAATGGAATGAAATCTTTAAAGCAACGAAAGAAACAGTCAGATTTGAAACTCATACATAGAAAACTATCTTTCCAAATTGAGTGTAAAATAAAGACTTTCTTTTATACAAATAGAAGCTGGAAGAATTCATCCCAGTAGAACTGCATGATAAAAAATGTTCAGAGAAATAGCTTTAAGATACTTAAAGTAAACACTGACAGAATAGGAAAATTAAATTCACAATTCCACAATTTAAGGTAAAGATGTCAACACATATTTTTCATAAATCATAGAAAACAAAATAAAACAAATTCTCTATTCTAGACAGAAGTTAGAGGATTGGACTTAGCACATGTCTTGATTTGGCATGGTGGAGGATGGTAATTTGAATCAGGCAGTTTGAAAAAGTGCCAGGCAATAGTATGTGGAAAAAAACCCTGTAAACAATTTAACACTTTATCATTAGGAAAGTGATAAAGAAATAATCCAGATGAAGAGGCAGTTAAGAAGATTTTATCTTTCAGTCAACATTGCGGATGAAGCATCTGTAGATTGTACAGCTAGGAGTCTAGGTATAGCAATTGCTTTAGACATCCCCTAATAAGCAATAGTCAATCAAGTATGGACAGAAAATAAAATATAAATTGCTGGACTACATTGCAAACAAAGGACAAAGTTAGATAATATATGATTGTTAAAATAATGTCACTAGATGAGATTCACTAATTGGTAATTATTTTTGCTACATTTATCATTCACAGCTTCCCATCCATGACCTAATGAAAGTTCATGAGAAATTTATGTTGACAAGTTGTCTTAGTCCATTTGTATTACTATAAAGGAATACCTGAGACTGGGTGATTTATAAGGAAAAGAGATTTATTTGGCTCATGATTCTGCAGGCTGTTCAAGTAACATGTCATGGGCATCTGCATCTGGTGAGGGCCTTAAGCTACCTCCTCATGGCAGAAGGGGAAGGGAAGAGGAGCCGATGTGTAGCGATCACTTGGCAAAAGAAAACAGAAGCAAGAGAGAGAGAGAAAAGAGGGAGGTGCCAGGCTCTTTTTAACAATCAGTTCTCACGGAGAACTAAGAGAGTAAGAACTCACTCATAACTGCAAGGATGCACCAAGTTGTTCATAAAGGAACCACTCTATGACCAAAACACCTCCCACTAGGCCCTGTCCCCAACATTGTGATCATACATCAGCATGAGATTTGGAGGGGACAAATATCCAAACTATATCACACATTATACATGAATGTATAGCTGTAACAATCAAATAATATTTGCAAAGGAATGATTCCTTTTTAGATAATATTTCGGGCTAGTTGCTTATCTGTAGAAAATTGCAAAGGTACAAAATGATATATTTGCTTCACTATGAAGTCAGTGAAGTAACTATTATAAATAATAAAATATGTAACAAAATTCTAAGGGATCTATAGTATTAGAATAGAGAACTACATGAACCAAGTTACTTATATGTCTTAAATGAGGCAAGTTACTTATATGTCTTATTTAAGACATATAAGTGTGTGGAATTGATATGTGGAATTGATAAAATTCTTTCCTTTATGAAAAATATGTTACTGACTGTGTGGAAAACTTATAAGTGCGATGAATTTATTTAATGTATAATTTACAAACAAGAAAAAAAATTAACCTAAAATATAATCATTTGAATGAGGATAGACCCTTATCAATGTAGGTAGGTTGAAGCTGAAAATAACAACAAAGGTAAAGCAGCAATTTGCCTCAATTCATCAAATTTATAAGACTGAATTTTTTAAAGCTGGCCTTGAAGAAGCAGAAATATGATAAAATGGCATACAGTGTTAAAATATACTATTTTAAAAATTTAGATGGTGAAAGGAATAACAATCAAATTATATATCATATGCACAATTTTCCATTGTTCTCTATATAAAGCATGGATTCTGCATAGACAAAAATATCCACTTATATGGTACAATTAGATATTGAAAACAAAGTTTTATATATGCATGACTAAAATTTTATAATTACTCAGAATATTATTTTATTCATCATATACTTTTAATGAAGAAAGCAAATTAATAATTTGTAGCCTACTTTTGTTATTTAAGTAGCCATGATAACTGTTCTAAAGACACTATTCATAAAGGTTTATGAATATGTGTCTACATACATGGATGCACATACACAGAAGGGTATAATATTCATTTGCATTCCAGGGTAATTATTTTATCTAAATGAATAGATGAAAAGACAAAATATTTTTTTCTTCTGCTACAGAACTGTTAACTTTTGTTACAGCAATGATCCAAAACAAGTCACATAGCTTCCTTTAGCAGGATCTACTGGCCATACGTTATTTTAATTATCATTATTTTTATTTAATATGAGTACGTTAGTTTGCTAGAATGGCCATAACAAACTACCACAGATTGGATGGCTTAAATAATAGACATTTATTTTCTCATGCCATTTTGGAGACTAGAGCCCAACATCAAGGTGTTGGCACATTCAGTCTCTTCTGAGGCCTCTCTCTGGCTAGCAGATGGTCACGCTTTCACTGTGTCCTCACTGTGGTCTTCCTACCTTGTGTGTGTGTATCCCTGGTGTCTCCCCGTGTGTCCAGATTTCTTCTGGTAAGGACACCAGTCGAACTGGATCAGAGACTCTAACAACTTTATTTTAACTTAGTCATCTCTTTAAAGGCCCTGTCTGCAAATATAGTCCAAATTCTGAGGTACTGGAAATTAGGACTTCACCATATGAATTTTTTGGGAGGTAAAATGTAGCATATAACAGTAAGTGTGCATATTTATTCATTTTGTAACACTTCATTCTAATAGTAATTGTAATATCTTAAAACATAAAATAGATTTTACTGCTTCATACTATGATAAAATATTTCAGAAAATTTTAAGATTCTTGTGTCAGCTCCATAAAATTTCAGTCTTTTCCCTTACTCCTAAAGGTAGTTTATCGTAGGGTACATTTGTCTTGCGTTTAAGAGCAGGCCTCTTTTCCTCATATTGATGGCAATCCAGAAAGTCAGATATTCATGTCTCTTTAAAATTCTATGTAAGTTTAATGTAAATAGGTATCCTGATGTGTACTCAAAAATTTTATCTAAAAATGTTTAATTTTCATCTGTGTTATAGATATTATATTACCTATCTAAGTGAGCAACAGTCACTTCTTTATTATTTTAATAATTTTCTGGCTTTTAGCATGATTTCAAGTATATTCATTTGCTGGCAAAAGGAGATATCACAACCATACAAATACAGGTAGGCATTTTGAATCTAGACTTACTAAGTGTCTCTGCTTATATATTGATGATAGGTGTTTTGGTTTTAACTCATAAGGATCTGAGGGTTTATCTATATTTAGCTTTTAGGGAATCTGAGAATGGCTAATTAACTTCCTCGACTTAATTAAATATGTAAATATCAGAACTGAGATAGTGAAAATAATTTCATTAATCAAGCATTAGGCTAATAAATGTTATCACATGCCAACATTGATATGATATTTATAATATAGCAAAATATTATTAAAATACATTTTATAAAAACATAGCAAATAATACATCAAATATGAATAAAAGCCTAGTATAGAACATCTTTCAAAATATATACATATCATATTTATAATGAAATAAAAATACTAAATAAAACATTCATTTACACTGATTTAAAAAAATGGAATGATAATTTTAGTTAATATATATAAATTAAAATCTGTGATAATTTAGATATTTTAATTCCTTGGACTGTAGTTTTTCTTCCATTTACAAGTCAGAGTGAAGTAATCATAAAATCAAATGAAGTCACCCCAGTTAATGGCCCAAAACAAAAGCATGCTACAAAGATTCCACGACTAGATCCTTTCCCATGAACATTAAATCTGCTGATATTTGCAATTTTTATCAAGAAATTAAATGCAGGCTGTGCAGTGTATATCATACCTGGAAAAGACGTTGTCTTATGCCATGTTCATATGAAAATTAAATGCATATGATGAATTACACAGTAAACTGAATGTGGAAAATACTAGTTTCATCTCATGGCACTTTGAAGAAAAGGGAAAAAAGGATGTCAACCATAAGCAACATGATATAAAATTCCATCACAAAGGCATTCTAATATGATGCTATTGAAAAAATTTGCTTTTTGTTTATCATGTCTTCTTGACCATTTGAGAGCTGATATATGATCCATACTAGATCCATCCAACAATGTAAGCAAAGCTCTAAAAATAAAACAAAATGCTAAAATGAAAAAGGTTATTATGGGCCATAAATAAGACAGGAAAATACTGCAAAATGTCAATTGGATTTTGAAATTTGTATAAAAAAGCTATCAAGCAACCGGTGTCCATGCATACTTGCCATTTGTGCTTATATTGATTAATTGAAAGATAAATAAACTGTGAGCATTTTAATTCTAGAAAGGAAAATGTTGTTAACCTTATGCAGACTGAACTTTATAAAGCTGTTTCTAAATGTGTTAATCTTGCTTAAATTAAAGTACAGAAAGCATCCTTTACACAATTTTTTAAAAAGAGATATTGATCCTAGTCTGGCCCAAATCCATTCTATGACTTGGGAAAAGATTAGCAATGCTCAGCTGAATGTGTCAGCCAAATGACAAGAAATAGTGAGTGAGTATGCAGTGGCACTTCTCAGAACAAAGAAGAGATTATGACACCCACAAAAATAGATAAAAGAATTGAATTGGGTGCTGTTTTCCAAAATGGGCTATTCAGGGAATCTTTAATAATAATATTAAATGTCTACTACAGATTATCTTATATTGCAACAAACCAATCACTTCCTTAAGATATACACCTATAATTTCATTTTTTCCAACCTCTATCATGGTCTTCATAAAAAGTGCCTTTGTCATTATGGTCAAGGACCAAATAAAGCAGAATTCTATACAGAAAATAAATACATTTGTGGTAGAGGACATAAACAGAGTCAAACAAAATCCTAAATCACAGATCAAAATATAGACAGAAAACTACACAGTTGGCCTAAGCAGTTGAAGAAAATTGGAAGGCGGTGTTAAGATAGAAGGAAGAACACTTATGGGGAAAACATAAGGGAAGATTGCTTATATTTGCACATACCATATTTAAATTTTGAGTAATCAGACAGAGAATCTTTCTATGATATATATTCATGAGTCCTTGGAAGTAAATATGCTTTTTGATGCTCAAGCTAATTTTTAAATGATATATAGTAAAACACTTGAAAAAATATTATTTCTGTAACTGAAAAGATTATGGCCAAAATGAGAAAACAATTTCAAAGATCAAAAGCTGTAATAATAGATTCATGTTAAATTATGCTAATTTATCTATAATAGATTATAATTTGCAAGTCACTCACTGAAAACACAATTCATGGTTGCAGCAAAGTTCAATATGTTGAAAGAGCTACTAGCTTTCTTAACATAAAGTATTGGTAAAGCTTCTGTCTCTGACAAATTTAACTAAACATATTTAACCAGTTTAAGTGTAGAAAATTATTTCATGCTAAACACAAAAATTCCATTTAGCTCTTCAAGTTCTGACTAGAGTATCCATATTATAAAGGAAAACAGTGTTCGTTGAATTCCGAATTTCCATTTAACCATATCTAAGAACTTTTCAACATCCTTAGACAGGGCTAATTAGTCTTCTATGTTTCTGCCTGTCACATTATATTACTACTTATTATAATAATCTTCACATAGCATATATTTTTCTATTAGGTTTGTGCAAAAGTAATTATGGGTTTTGCAATTTAAATGGCAAATCCATAACTACTTTTGCACCAACCTAATATTTGATTAGATCATATGTTCCCTGAAGGAAGGAGATTTTATTTATTTTGCATTCTTGCTTATTATGCTAGACATAATATCAAAAATGCATAGAAAACAACTGGATGTAGTTCTGGCTTGAGAATTTTGAGTTGAAATAGATTATCCATTACTTATTCTCTTAGTACTTTTCTGCCTTTCGCATTTCATAATCGATATAACACATGAAAAAAAGCTTAACAAAGGGCCTGCCACAGAGTAAGCATTTAGTAAATAATCAAGCTCACATGATTAAGTTCCTGCTTTAAATAATTCTTCATTCCTCTTTTTCAAACACCTAGACCTTTCTATTCTGATACTGAAAGCAGAATCTTCACTCTACAGACAGCATTCTGATCTCAAATCATAGACAGGTGGCATTAGCATTTGCAACTCACAGTTATGCTCTTAGAATGAAGTTAGTACAAAGTCCTCAAAGTCAATCATTTGAAGACTTTTCTTTTCTGCCCTCCAAAAAAAAATATCTCTTGGATTGCATGTATTTACAGGGTAATAAGAGAAAAACATGGAATTTTCTGTAATAACATAGGCCAAAAATCCTAAAAGAACACAAACCAAAGACAAATTCATTCTGCTTGGACCACAAAAGAAGGCACCACAGAGTCAGATTTTGGCAATGCCTTGAAAGATCAGTAGACAAGCCAATAAAGAATATTTAAGTAAAAAAGGCAGAGGTAAGAAGGTTCATGGATTATATAAGTTCATCATAGAAAATCATGATGGAATTTTTTTTTTTTTTTTTTTTTTGAGACGGAGTTTCGCTCTGTCGCCCAGGCTGGAGTGCAGTGGTGCGATCTCGACTCACTGCAAGCTCCGCCTCCCGGGTTCACGCCATTCTGCTGCCTCAGCCTCCCGCGTAGCTGGGACTACAGGGGCGCACCACCATGCCCGGCTAATTTTTGTATTTTTAGTAGAGACGGGGTTTCACTGTGTTAGCCAGGATGGTCTCAATCTCCTGACCTCGTGATCCACCCGTCTCGGCCTCCCAAAGTGCTGGGATTACAGGCGTGAGCCACCGCGCCCGGCCCCATGATGGAATTTTAGTGACCAAATCATAGGGTTGATGGAGAGCAGGGTATGATGGACACGAGGCTTTTAAACTTGAAAGGGGACATGTTACGCAGGTATTAAATGTTATGTTGAGGAACAACCTACTTTTGACAAGGCTGACATTAAGAAATTTATATTTTAGAATAATATTAAATGGGAAAAATTGATTTCAGGAAGAAGAGAATGGTTGCATAGTTGTTGTAATAATGCATCAGTAATATGATGAGAGCAAGTAATCACATGAATAGAATAGAGTAGAGAAATTGGAGAAGAATGTCATGGAGTATTGCAAAAGTTAAAGAAAGCACAATCTTTCACTCATGACACTGTAAGTTTGGGGCTTCCTAAAACATCCTCAGGTTTCAATAACTCACTAGAAGGACTCACAAAACTCACTGAAATCTGTTATACTCATGATTATAGTTATTACAGGGAAAGAATATGGATTAAAGTTAGCCAGGGAAAGAGACTCATGGGGCAGAAAATAGATGGGTTCTAAACATGGCACTTCCGGGTGTTCTCTCCCAGTGGACTCATGGACAACGTTAACTTCTGGCCACAATGTGTGATAATACACATGGAATATTGCCAAGTAGAGAAGATTACGTGAGATTGAGTGGCTTCATTAGGTAGGCAGGTTTACTGCCTATCTGGCTTATTTCATTCTCCACCTCCTCCAGAGACGATGCTAATGCCTCATGACCCAAAGCCTCTAGGTAAATCCCATTTGTATCCTTTATAGCATGGTTAGACCCCACCCTAAACAAAGACTCCGTTATCAAGCAGGATATTTCAGAGGCTTAGAGATTATCTCCCAAAAGCTGAGGGGAAAGATCAGACCTCTCTTTGGGAAAGTTTAAATTCTTTACTACACAAATATCAATAGATTTTGGTTATAACAGTGGAGTGATAACTAAATATTTGGAGAAGTTCAAAAGGATTTTCAGTTTCTAACTTATATAAAACACTAGTTGCCTCTTAAGCAACATTTGAAGATAAATAGAATGAAGTTTAAGAGACTGGCAGGTTGGAGATTATAAGTCAGGCTTAAAATTTAATGAAGGCCAAAATTTACAAAAATTCACATTGGGTTTGTGATTCCCATTGGATAAATAGAGAATAAATTGGTGAAATAGGAAAATGAAGTCAATAACAAAGATAAGGTTGGAGAGACAGAGAGAGAGAAAGAGAGAGAAACAATATTTCAATATCATCTTATTTTATGAAGTGATGCAGAGTGTTAACATTAATCAGAGCAATTGTATTGTTAAAGATAATAGTACATTCTTCTAATTTATCTAGATCTAATAACAAATAACACAAACTTATTACTCCATGCTACATATGTAAACAAATGATATGATTTTGCTATCATAGTGAGATCCTCCATCATCCATATTCTTTAATAATCAAATAAATATTTAAACAAATATATACTAAGTGACAGCATTTGAAATAACTTTGGGAAAAAAGACATATAGAAATATAGGGTCTGTTACCTAAAGCCTGGATAAATGAATAGATAGGTATTACTTTAATATTAAAATTAATGGGTATGTAGAAAGGAAAATAAATAAAAATGTTCTTGGGAACATTGCAAAATACACAATTAATCAACTCATATCCATTTATTAATGTGCATAGAAAGCCTACTCTGAGAAATATGGAAATAAACATTGCACTTACTTATAAATATTTTGAATTATGAGTAGCAGGTCTTGTTAAGAAGCACAGTAAACATTAGAAAATTAAAGTTTCTTACAAATGAATTATAGGATTTATGACCATATAATATGTAAGATTATCTACTGTAAACTTTTAGAGACTTTATTTCTTTTTCTCCCTTACAATGAGGGACAATTTTCTGCAGAATTCTCTCGCTGAAGTTTCTCTGGTCCCCATTACTAGAGGTGAATGGCAGTGGTTTCTCCTATCAAAATAAATCTATCTTGCTGTCTTTCATCTCCCTATCAACCAAATCAAATTTCTTAATTTTTCTACTATTAAAAAAGCCTCCATGAGTCTCTGGTAAGTTAAATATTTTACTTTACTGGTCTTATTTTTTTTTTTTTTTTTTGAGACAGGGTCTCACTTTGTCTCCCAGGCCTGAGTGCAGTGGCACGATCCCAGCTCACTGCAGCCTTGACCTCCTGATCTCAAACAATCCTCCTTCCTCAGCCCCACAAGGAGCTGCAACTACAGGCACGTGCCACCACACCCAGCTCATTTTTGTATTTTTTGAAGAGATGGGTTTTCGTTATGTTGTCCAGGCTGGTCTTGAACTCCTGAGCTCAAGAGATCCATGTGCCTTGGCCTCCCAAAGTGCTAGGGTTACAGGGGTGAGCCATTGCATGTGGCCATTGGTTTTACGTTTTTAATCAACTTTTTTTGAGAGATGATTTTACATTTTAACTGTACAGTTTAACTGGCCTTGGCAAATGTATATACCCATGTAATCTCCTGCACAATCATGATGTAGAATATTTCCATTATCTGGAAAATTTTCTTCCATACCTTTGAGGTCAATCTCTACTCCCAATTCCAGGCCCTAAGCAAGCATTGAATGTTTTCTGTCACTGTAGATTTATGTTTCAGTTTCTGGACTTTCATTTAAATGGAGTCATAGATTACGTTCTCTTTTGTCTTTGGCCTCTTTTGCTTTTTAATGTTAATGGATGTATCAAAATTTCACTCATTTTATTGCTAGATAATATTCCATTCTATAGAGATGACAAATTATGTAAGTTTTTAAAATGTTAGCATTTCTGCAGTGGTATCACATCGTAAGTTTAATTTACATTTCTCTGATTTAAATGACATCAAACATTTTTTATGTTCAAAAGCCATTCAAATATCTTCCTTCACAAATTTTTTTTCAAATTTTAGCCCATTTAAAAAAATTGTATTGTTCACTTTATTGTTGAGTTATAATTTTTCTTTGTATATGCTGGATATGTATCTTCTACCAGATACATATATTGCAATTATTTTCTCCCAGTTTGTAGCATGTCTTTCATTTTCTTAATGGTGTTTGTAAAGACGTGAAAATTTTTATTTTTAATTTTGATAAAGTTCAATTTATGATTTCTGTTCCTATAGTTCTAAGAAATCCTGGCCTACTCTGTAGTCTCTAAGATTTTCTTTTTAAATTACATAGTATCAGCTTTTATATTTAAGTCTATGATCCATTTTGAGGTAAAGACAGAGGCTCATTTTTTCATATGGGTCTCCGGTTGTTCCAGCGCCAGCATTTTCTTGCATTGGTTCTCTGAAGCCCAATTCCCAACTTGTGATATGAAGAGAACCATGTGATCTGTCCCTGTATATGCAATGCATTTTGTTACAGAGAAAGTGGAATTTTTATTAATGCACAGTGTATACACCTAATCCGTGCTCCAGAGAGAGACACTGTCTCTGTCCTCTAAGGCTTCTTTCTATACAATCATTCTTAAAAATATAGGTTAGAAGAAAGTCCTGCAGTGCTTCTGGTCAAAAAACAAGAAAACTGTCTTCCTTGGCTTCTCTTTCATTTTGGTTTCTTATACTTTTGCTGAGATTCTGGATCTGAATTTATTTATTTTTTATAAAATTGGGGATTTTTTGGCCATTGTTTCTTTTTATTTTGTTTTCTTGTCAACCTCTCTTTCTGCTGTCATGAACTGCATTTGCACATTTGTTAGGCTGCATAAAGTTTTACCACAGCTGGCCATTGTTTTGACTATTTCTTTCCCAGTAATTTTTTCTGCATTTCATTGTGGGTACCTTCTATTGTAATGTCTTTAAACATATGAGTGTTTTTTTCTGCAATGTAAAAATAAATTGTAGTGGAACTGTTCCGGATTAAAAAAGATTAAGAAGATACAATGTTGGCTCTATATAGCAGCTACATTTTGAGGAAATTTTTGAAATTTTGATATATACTAGATATTGTATACCAGGGAATTTGTGTTAATTTTCTTGGAAGAAATAATGAGATTGAGACTGCCCATGTGAATGTCCTCATTATTATGTGTGGATGCTAGATTACTCTGGAAGCAAAATGTTAATAGCGTCTTCAACTTATTTTCAATAGCTTACTCAGAAAAATGAAACAAAAATCAAAAATTCTTTCTCATAGCTACCTAGATGGAGAAAGCAAATATTGAATCTAGATGGCAGACATATGCATATGTTTATGGTACTACATGCTTATATTTTTTGTTTGAACTTTTTTACAATTGACAATTTGAAAAATAAAAATAATGCTGCAAAAATACTTCATTTCTACCTCATTAGGATACATAAAATATTGTATTTCATGTAGGTTGAAGAACATTCCCTTTAAATGTTAAAAATTGGAGGAGTAGCTTGGACAAAAAAAATAAGCAATTCTACTAGTAAACATTTCTGAACTCGAAAATACTGCAGTCCAAGGTTTAGAGGACTGTATCAAGAAAACTATTTCAGCCCCATAGCATCTCACTGGAAGTAAACAGGGTTTAAGCGTATCACTGAATTGGATATGAATATATTATCTAAAGTCTATTACTGAGCCAAAGTACTTTTCTAGACTGAGTTTATGAGGATTACTGAAAGAAGTATTATGGTCGTATCTATTATATAGTCATACATATGTACTACCTCACTTACTGTTATGTCCTATTTTCACTGACTTTGAAGTGCATTTAATCACCACGTTTGCCACTTCCTCCCCAAAAATGTAGCTGTAGACTTTCTATAAATTTTCTCAGCACTGGGAAAAATTGTTCATTAGTTTGCTACACTGTAACATGTGAATGATTTTACACAGCTTATACTAACCACTGAAATCCTGGAGCAGGTAGGTCTTACTAGGATGTCTGCTGAGATACCCGTCATAATTTTACATAGTTTATTACTTTTTGATGGCCTCTGTGAATTGTGCAATTTTGTAGCTCTCTGAGAAAAATTTCAGAAACTCTTGCCCTGCTTTGTGTAATTGAGTAAGCAGAATTGTGGTTATTACAGTTACAGCTTTGTTATTAGAAAAATAAATTCTCTATGCCATGTTGTAAATATAGAAAACAACGTGTTATTCATATGTTGTGTATCTTTATATATATAAATATTTAAGTCCTTTTAAAAATAAGAAATAATTTTTAGAGTGCTCTTTCTTTTTTATCTTTCTCTCTCCCCATTTCTTTCATTTAATTTAGAAAAAGAGGGTTGACAAGTTCTTTTACACAATAATCATGGCTATTAATGAGCATGTGTTGAAATAGAAAGTCCTTTGCTTTTTAGAAAGTAATTTTGCATTCTATATCTAGATATTTTTAAGTTAGTGCACTTTGATCTAGTGTTTCCACTTCTAAAAATATACCCAATTAATGAAAATATATCAAAGTGGTTAAGTTTTGTGTAAAACATGTGACATTTGCAGTATGGCAGATACTTGGGGAATAAAATAAAACAGCCAAAGAAAATGACTACAAAAATCAATTTATACTCATTAAATTTTAATATTTTTGTAACCAAAATGAAGTTTTCAAAACTACTGTATTGATATAAAAAGCTAATGTTTAATATAAAAAATAGAATACAAAAAATAATTCCATATGATTTTATCATTGTCTCATATACATGTGTAGAAAAAATTCTAGGAAATATACTAATTTAAATAACATTACCTCTAGTTAAAGGAGTTGTGAATAATATTTAAATATTTAAGAGTCTAAATATCTATAGAGTCTAAATATATATATAGACTAATTTAAAGCAGACTGTTTTCATAAGCTCAATCCAGCCAGTTGCCTGTTTTGTAAATAAAGTTTTATTGGAACACAACCACACTATTTTTTTAACATTTTGTCCATAACTTTTTTCATGCTACAAGGGCAGAATTGAGTAGTTGCAACGTCTAGAATTTATGACCAGCAAAGCCCCAAATATTTACTATTCAGCCCTTTACAGAAAAAGCTTTCTGTTTCATTAAGTTCAAGTTTCAAATCAATCGAGATTTCTAAAAAACATTGTGTGCACCAATAAGTGATATAAAAATCTTTATTATATAAAGGCCTGCATCTGTCAAATTTGTTAAAATTTGGCTTATCGCTAAAATTGTGATTTCATTTAATCACTAGTTTAAAGCAGAAAGTCAAGTGACTCAGAGTGAAATGATACACTTTAACTTACTCTTTTGGATAAACGAATGCTTCAAATACAGAAGCAAAGTTTTAAAATCCTCCTTGATCTCTACATTGCATCTCTTTAAAGAGATAACAGATAACAGCCATTAAAAAAAAACAAAAAACAAAAAAAAAAAAAACAAGGAATCCATCTTCAAATTGGCTAATACTTCAGTTTTGGCCACTGTTTAAAGAACCGAGCTTAGGGCAAAGAATTCAGCAGCCTCTCTTCCCTTTACTGTTGCTTCTGTCTTGCTTTGAGTCCTAAGATAAGAAGAAAAGATAGTAACTTCTCAACTATGCAAATCACAGGATTCTTTGTGATTCACACTATAGTAGTGCTCTTCAGAAAATGAAAGCTCCTCATGGACAATGGAGATGAAATCAATATATTGTGTTGCTGGACAAAGGCCTAAAATCACAGATCCCAACTGAAAGGTGCAGGAATCTATAAGTGTTTTGGAGTTCTTTTTAGCATAGTGTTGCCTAGATATTACTATTGATTGTTTAAAGAGTGCTTTAGATACCGCAATTGTTTGGAATGTAATTTTCCAGTTGCTTTTAAAGTTACGTTTGATTTATTTTACTCCTTTTTTTTTTTTTTTTTTTTTACTGTAATTCTACCTTATTGACTTATTCTTCTTCTCTCACTCCCTCCTTAAAAAGAAGGCTTGACCCTCTTTGGCAGATTGAATGAAGTGATGGAGCACCCTAATCATCTCCAATGCTTTCTACAATCCCCAGACACTTAACACAGGCCACCAGGAGAGTAACTGCTGTTTATTTCTTAGATTAGGTTTATTTTCTTGTAACAGGGGAAACAGGAGGCAGACAAAATAAGCTACGAGAATTCACAAAACAGGCTGGGCGCAATGGTTCATGCCTGTAATCCCAGCACTTTGGGAGGCCAAGGTGGGTGGACCACTTGAGGTCAGGAGTTCAAGATCAGCCTGGCCAACATGGTGAAACCCCGTTTCTACTAAAAATGCATTAGCCAGGTGTGGTGGCATGTGCTTGTAATTCCAGATATTTGAGAGGCTGAGGCAAAAGAATTGCTTGAATTTGGGGAGTGGAGGCTGCAGTGAGCCAAGATCATACCACTGTACTCTAATCTGGGTGCCAAGAGTGAAACTCTTCTCAGGAAAAAAAAAAAAAAAAAAAAAAGAGCAAAAAAAGAATTCACAAAACAGCTTCGTTAATTTGAAATGACTATCTTTAAGTAAGTCGAAGAAAGAACACACTTGCATTGTACTCAAGAGGTACTCATGCACACCATCTCAGTATACTTTCTTTGCTAACTACTGGGTCCATCCCTTGTGAGCTCGCCCTTGGTCCATCTCACAAATTCCCCCCAACTTCTTGCCTAAATCTTGAATCAGGATAGAACTAGCTAGGGCACGAGAAAGTGAGCTGCTAACTAAGGTTTATTACATGGACTCACCTGTTACTTATCTCTTATAATCTCATTAGCAATGTGGGAGGGCACTATAATCTGAACATCCAGGAGTGGTGCTTGTACAGTTTAATCCTTACCCAGACATTTTTTCAAGATAATATTAATATTCCATTTTGAATCATTAAGTTCTATTATATATCAGTTCCTAACAAACTAGCTTAGACAAAATTAAAATACATTTTATTTTTGTCATTTGTGGCAGTTTTCTTGGCAGACTAATTTCACAATTATCTCCTACCTGCATATCTTTATATCAAACTCTAAAACTGCCTTCCTCCTATTGCAAAGTTATCCTTCAAATCTTTCTGCAAACAAATGGCAGATTAAAAAAATAAGCATTTACCTATCTTATAGCACAACAATTTCACTTTTCTATATATATATCCACAAAAATGAATCTTAAAAGAATGTTCATCAAACTTTTTCATAATATCCCCAAATTGTGAACAGTTCAGGTGTCCATCAATAAAATGAACTGTGGCATATTCATATTTAGAAATAGTATTTCAGCATTACAAGGATCAAACTATGATACATATGACAATGTAGAAGAATATTAAAAACACTACACTGAGTGAAGGAAACTTTATTCAAAAGAATGAATGCTTCATGATTTCATTATATATGTTTTATATCTAAAACAGTCTATACACATAATAATTGCCTGGGTTTGGATGTCAGGAATTTAATGGTAAAGGGACATGAAGAAGATTCCTGGCTTCATAATCATTATATATATATATCTTGATATAGGTTTGGATTATGTAAGTGTGTGTATTTGTCAAAATTTATTGAGTGATACAATTATAATTTATATATTCAATTACATGTCAATTTTACATAAAATAGAAATTAATTAACCAATACACAAATATTTCACTAAAATTTATGATATGCACCCTGAAGTATTTGAGGGGAAACTTACTGATATCTTCAGCTTACTTACAAATGCATTAAATATCAATTAATGAAATAATAGCAATGAATTGATAGATATTTGATAAAGTATATTAAAGTGTTACTTGCCAGGTCTAGATGGTGATTTTCTATGCACTTACTGTAAATATTTTTTAACTTTTCTATGTTCTCTTACAATTAATTATTTTTATGGAGCTACATATAGACTATAAAATCTGTATCTAGATTTATAATATTAGCGCCTGAAGTTCTGACTTTTTTCTTAGCTTTATCAAGGTACTTCACTAATAAAAATGATACATATTTAAGTTGTATAACTTCATATTTTGATATATGTATATATTGCGAAATAATTACCACAACAAAGCTAATTAACATATCTATTAGTTCACATAGTTACCTTTTGTGCGTGTGTGTGTGTGTGTGTGTGTATCGCTGTGTGTGTGGTGAGAATACCTAAGATCTAATCTCTCTCTTTTTTTATTATACTTTAAGTTCTAGGGTACATGTGCACAACATGCAGGTTTGTTACATAATTATACATGTGCCGTGTTGGTTTGCTGCACCCATTAACTCGTCATTTACACTAGGTATTTCTCCTAATGCTATCCCTCCCCCTGCCCTCCACCCCATGACAGGCCCCCATGTGTGATGTTCCCCGCCCTGTGTCCAAGTGTTCTCATTGTTCAATTCCCACCTATGAGTGAGAACATGTGGTGTTTGGTTTTCTGTCCTTGTGATAGTTTGCTCAGAATGATGGCTTCCAGCTTCATCCATGTCCCTGCAAAGGACATGAACCCATCCTTTTTTATGGCTACATAGTATTCCGTGGTATATATGTGCCACATTTTCTTAATCCAGTTTTTCATTGATGGACATTTGGATTGGTTCCAAGGCTTTGCTATTGTGAATAGTGCTGCAATAAACGTACATGTGCATGTATCTTTATAGCAGCATGATTTATAATCCTTTGGGTATATACCCAGTAATGGGATTGCTGGGTCAAATGGTATTTCTAGCTCTAGATCCTTGAGGAATCACCACATTGTCTTCCACAATGGTTGAACTAGTTTACACTCCCACCAACAGTGTAAAAGCTTTCCTATTTCTACACATCCTCTCCAGCACCTGTTGTTTCCTGACTTTTTAATGATCGCCATTCTAACTGGTGTGAGGTGGTATCTCATTGTGGTTTTGATTTGCATTTCTCTGATGACCAGTGATGATGAGCATTTTTTCATTTGTCTTTTGGCTGCATAAATGTCTTCTTTTGAGAAGTGTCTGTTCATATCCTTTGCCCACTTTTTGATGGGGTTGTTTTTTCTTGTAAATTTGTTTAAGTTGTTTGTAGATTCTGGATATTAGCCCTTTGTCAGATGGGTAGATTGCAGAAAATTTCTCCCATTCTGTAGGTTGCCTGTTCACTCTGATGGTAGTTTCTTTTGCTGTGCAGAAGCTCTTTAGTTTAACTAGATCCCATTTGTCTATTTTGGCTTTTGTTGACTTTGCTTTTGGTGTTTTAGTCATGAAGTCCTTGGGCATGCCTGTGTCCTGATTGGTATTGCTTAGGTTTTCTTCTAGGGTTTTTATGGTTTTAGGTCTAATGTTTAAGTCTTTAATCCATCTTGAATTAATTTTTGTATAAGGTGTAAGGAAGGGATTCAGTTTCAGCTTTCTACATATGGCTAGCCAGTTTTCCCAGCACCATTTATTAAATAGGGAATCCTTTCCCCATTTCTTGTTTTAATAAGGTTTGTCAAAGATCAGATGGTTGTAGATGTGTGCTGTTATTTCTGAGGGCTCTCTGTTCTGTTCCATTTGTCTATCTCTCTGTTTTAGTACCAGTACCATGCTGTTTTGGTTACTGTAGCCTTGTAGTATAGTTTGAAATCAGGTAGTGTGATGCCTCCAGCTTTGTTCTTTCTGCTTAGGATTTTCTTGGCAATATGGGCTCTTTTTTGGTTCCATATGAACTTTAAAGTAGTTTTTTCCAATTCTGTGAAGAAAGTCATTGGTAGCTTGATGGGGATGGCATTAAATCTATAACTTACCTTGGGCAGTATGGCCATTTTCACGATATTGATTCTTCCTATCCATGAGCATGGAATGTTCTTCCATTTGTTTGTGTCCTCTTTTACTTCGTTGAGCAGTGGTTTGTAGTTCTCCTTGAAGAGGTCTTTCTCATCCTTTGTAAGCTGGATTCCTAGGTATTTTATTCTCTTTGTAGCATTTGTGAATGGGACTTCTGTCATGATTTGGCTCTCTGTTTGTCTGTTATTGGTGTATAGGAATGCTTGTGATTTTTGCACATTGATTTTGTATCCTGAGACTTTGATACCTAAGATCTAATCTCTTAAAGAGATCCACTTCAACCGCTTTGCCTGTATAAGTGAGACACCAGAGACCCTGAATGATGAAATGACTTGGCTAAACTTAAAAAGATTCTATAGAGAAGGGCTGAACTGCCAAAAATTAGGTCATCTGTATTCTAATAGAATGTTCTAATATATTTATTTTTGCTTCGAATTTTCATTCATTTGTTTCCACCAGTACTATGTAAAATGTCAGAAACCATCCAGGCGCGGTGGCTCACGCCTGTAATCCCAGCACTTTGGGAGCCCAAGGTGGGCGGATCACGAGGTCAGGAGATCGAGACTATCTTGGCTAACACGGTGAAACCCTGTCTCTACTAAAAATACAAAAAATTAGCTGGACGTGGTAGTGGGCGCCTGTAATCCCAGCTACTCAGGAGGCTGAGGCAGGAGAATGGTGTGGACCCAGGAGGCGGAGCTTGCAATGAGCCAAGATCACCACGCCACTCCACTCCAGCCTGGGTGACAGAGCAGGACCCCATCTCAAAAAAAAAAAAAAATCAGAAACCAATCCACATTATCATTTCCACCTACTGTAAAAGCAAGATAATCTTTGCACAATAACAGAATGTATTTATATACAAATTATTGCAAATTAGTACACAAGTAGCTCATTTAAATGCACCATGGCAGTATTTCCAGAGAAAAACTCCAAAAATCTCTCTCAAATATTATAAAAATACTGATTTTATGGTTTTTACAAATATTCCCATGGAACATTTTCAGATAAACTATTTTGTTGCTTGACAGAATCCAAAGCTAATTACGGCACAGTTGGTTAATGTGCTATAATTAATTTTCCCATAGTTAATTTTCTGGGTCTATGTGATAGGAAACAAGGAAAGAGGTGACTAATTTAA